>NC_000020.11:39951082-40254112 GCF_000001405.40 Homo sapiens
GTGGTGATTGATAATTACTCAATAAGTAATTGTGGCTCACATGTTTATGACAGCAAGAAGGATGATGAATGTTGCAGGGTGGTGGGGGGATGGACAGGTCACACTTTGTAGGGCTTTAGGGTTGCCATCAGGGTCCAGACAACATTTATTGTCCAGTCCATTGATAATCCTGATTTTCTCCTGGCTTCAACTAAGTATTTTGGACTCTAAGTCAAGGGTCAAACCACCAGTGTCTCCACCTCCATGTGTGTCTCTGATTTGACAGGCTCTAATGCCAGGGCTGCCCTTAAAAATAATCCTTTTTGTCATACACACAGAAAACCATGCTTTTCCAGGTTGAAAGTGGATCCCATCTCACAAAAGTCCAGCTCAGATTGAGAATTTAGAGCCATAAATGCTAAGGAGGTACAATGCTCAGAAAAGTACATTAGTACTTCTTCCGCAGATGCCCCTTAGAAAGTCTTACATCCAGAGTTTGGCTTCCAGGTAAATCATTTCTGAATCAAGGCTGGCCTGACATTTTCAAGCACAGCCAGTTGCACTTGCCTCTACACTCCACCTTCCATTCTGACACTTTTCAGTAATGCTGTTAATTGCTTATGGATGTATCTCCCCAAACAGACTGTGAGTTCTTCAAGGGCAGTGCCTCTATTTAATTCACCTGTGAATTTTAATCCTGTGGAGTCAACTTTCTGTAGATAATGCCTGAACAAAAAAATTAAGAAATATAAACAATCAGCCCCAGAGCCTTGCTGTTGGGAGAGGTTGGACTCTCTGGGGCAGCTTTGCCCCAGGATATAGTTCCAGGAGGTGGGTTCCCAGGCGGAAGGGAGAAATACAAATGTACAAGCAGATGACAGCCCGTGAGCTGGATATGTCCCGGAAATAAAAACTGGACAAGTCATAAAGTTTCAGGCCAACACCAAAGGAAGAAATGCTGGGTCTTTACATAGAACTGTCCTCTAACCCCCTAGTGACTAGCAATTATTTCCTCCTGCCCTGCTGGCTCCCCTACAAAGCAAGGGGCGTCCAGTGAGGAGTTCTGAGCCCAGCATAAGCAAAGCACCAAACACGGAGTGTGTGACCCTAGGAGACGCAGGGAATCTCCTCCTGCATCTCTGTCTGTGACTGTGTTGTAAGAGATGAGGACGGGAGAAACAACGGGAGAAAACTGTGACAGGAGAATTTGGGATTCTAGCAGAAACTAACACCAGAATCTTGGGCAAAGGACACAGAATTCTAAGAGAGAAGTTTGATCATGTACCAAATAGTCAGAGACATATTTGCTTCTATGAGAGATCTCGTTCCCTTAAGTGAAATGCCAGACCCTAAAATTTCTAGTTATCCTTAAAAGAGTGGACACACAAGAAAAGGAAGGAGGGAGGGAGGGAAGGAGGGGGTGAGGAAGGGAGGGAGGGAGAGTGAGGAAAGGAGGGAGGGAGGGAGGAAGGAAGGAAGGAAGGAAAGAAGGAGAAAGAGAAAGGAAGAAAAGGGAGAAAGATGAAAAGAAATGAGTGAGAAAAGAAAGGAAGAAAGAAAGGTGAATTTCCATCAAGTAAGACCCAGAGAAAAGAAAGAAATGACGGCAGCTGAACCACTTTTCTCTTTCCTTTTTAATCTGACTTTAGATGTTCTCCTGGTAAAATCATTACAAAGGCCGTTTATTTTTAAAATTGAAAGATTGGGAAGAGTCATAATGAGATACTATGTGTAAAAGTTGCACATAAATTTCCTCTTGTCATATTTTGGGCTTCACTAACGCATCCCCTTGACAGGACGAAGGGAAGTTGATCGCTTTAGTATAGATTGTGCGCGCCTCAGAAATATTGCCCTAGGAGAGAGCTCCTGGGTGGCTGACTTGGCTCCATGCTGATTTAGAAATTAGCCGGGCTTTTATTGGCCACACTAAATTGTTCTCAGGAAAAAAAAATACATTTTTATTACAGAACAAGGGGCAGATGATTGAAACAAGCCTGCCTTCTCCTTCATTTGGAGCTGTGTTTTAGACTGTTAAGTTGACTTTCTTCTCTGGGGTTCTCGCTGCTGTTTAATGGGGGCATACAATATCTACCATTAAAGAAATTACCTTGTTTCTCTCAGTGTCCCCAGGGAATTCCTTATTCCTTAATAAAGTTCTGTTTGAGTTCTCCTGAGTGCATGAGTGGGCAGGTTGAGGAAAACGGAGACTCTCTATATAATATTCCTATTGCAAGGGTTTAGAGGAAGGGGAGACCAGGAGCCGTCCTTAAAGAAGGGATTCAGAGCGACTGTGAGTCTGGCCACTGGCCATTGACTCCAGATCTAAGGCCAGAGGTAACACTACAGAAATGCACACCCCAATCCTGTATTGAGTGAAGCCCACGGCAGGGCCGTGCAATGAACTTGCATGTGAGGCCAAACCTGTCAAAAGCCACTTGGACCAAAGGGAATCATTCATTTGTAGAGAATGCCCAAACCCACTCATATCCAATTCTGTTCTCTTGAAGTCCAGCCTGACTCCTGTCTCCGACTCTGCTTTGACAGGCGGCCTTAGGCTCTTCCTCAGTTCTAAACAGGGCATTGATAGATTCCCATGGAACTGCTCACTACTGCCCTCCACAAAACTGCCTGCCTGATTTCAGACAGCCTCTTGCTTAGAATCTGTTCTAGGTACAGAACCCCTAGCCCTTCTCCAGGAGAAATATTATGTCCATATGGATGGGAGCAGCTAGAGGATTTCTGGAAACTTTCTAAAGATTAGTTTCACTTCTTGAAAGCTAAAAGGCAAACATATAATTGTATCCAAAGTAAATTACTAGAGTAACACAGAGCAACTGGGGTATTTGAGGAAGGAATTGTTCGGCCAACTGAACCATTTCATTAACCCTTCAAATGTGATCCTTGATTTTATTTTCTTAAATACTTATAAAATGTAAGCACCTTCCTGCATTAATATGCAATATGATGGAGCCCTTAAGATCTTGGACTCAAGGTAAGTCAGAATTGAATAGGACACGTTTGCTGTCATTTTCCAAATATAGGTCCTTGGGCAAATCACATCCAGTTTTTCTGATGCGGTTTTCTCATCTATAAAATGGGGATCATCACAGCCCTGCTAGTGAGAACTTTATATATGTTGAGTTTATATATGATAATTTTATATATGTTGAATTTATTTAATATGTGAAATATGTTAAATAAGTATATTTAATTTAAATATATTTAAATTACTTATTAAACAGTAAGTACCACACCTGGTATAACATACAAACTCATTAAACATTAGCTGTTGACATTGCTCACCATCAGCTCAGCGCTCCTTAGCTGAAAGGTAGATTTATTTCCCCCACAAGCTAAATTCTACAATAGAGCCAAGTCTCACAAAACGTTAGTGGTTCAGCTGAGACAGAAAACATAACTTTTGATTACTTATCCTCCTCCACTAAACTTCAGACCACACTGCCTCCTATTAAAATTAATTTCTGTTCCCTTCAGGTGGAGATTTAAATTTGTCATGCCTCCCTAAGCCACTGGACCCATAGCCCTATCCCTGATTTTTCCTTAGGGAAGCCAGGACTACTTGAGGTAATTAATCCACCACAGGCTCCCCTACCACAACTGGGAAAGAAACACCAAATTCTACTTGGTTTCTTACTAATTAGGAACAGAGAGAGGGAGAGAGGGAGAGAGACTAAGGACGGGAAAGGGCTGAGCTAAGTGGGGTGTGGTCCACATGTGTTCCCAATCATGACCACACAATGAAAATGTTTTCTTTCTGGGGCAATCAGGCAAAATCTTGGAAAGATGAACTTTTTTCCCCGCTTCTTTATGTACAATAATAACAATATCCCAAATTCAAAACTTTTTTTTTAATCTTGGCACAATTTTGCTTCTAAAACATTTGGAAAACATCCAAGCACTGATGGCCTATGCCTGACCCTTTTCTCTGAGGTCCAAGCCACTTATTCTATAATAATAATAAGCGAACACATAGATGATGCATTCTATGTGCCAGACTCTGTTCTAAGTGCTTTACAATACATTGACTAAAATTCAATCTCCTTCAAAAACCCTACAACTTAACACTATGTTCATCCCCATTGAACAGATGAGGAAACTGAAGCAAAATAGATTTAGCAACTTCTCCAAAGTTAATCAGCTAGTACAGGGCAGAGGCAGGATTTGCACTCAGGCTGTCTGAACTCTAGATTTATGCTCATCATTATCAGCTCATACTTCTATCATGTACCTCCATGGCAGAAGGGCTAGGGGAAAAGCAGAGGGCTGGGGCTGCCCAAGAGTTGAAGATCAGGAGGCACAAAAACTAAGAAGAGAACTCCCAAGAAAGTTGGAGTACTAATAGGCAATGGGGTACCAGTCCCTCTTTTGAGTTGTGGCTCTGCCTTTCTGGTTCTACATTTACTCAGTTCATGAACCAAACACCTGTCACCATTGCCCTTGTTCACTCTGCTCTCCCCATGCTCTTCACTTTGATTGACATGCAAACTTTATTCTCTTACACTCCTGACCTTGAATTCCATTTCTAGCCTGAGTGTCCCCTAGGCCCTGACCTTCACACCTCCAGACCCAGCCAAGTACCCGGATTCTGGCTCCTAATTGCTCCCTTTGCTTAACTGTCTAGTTGAAAGTTCAGACCCTGAATCAGCCCTTGGCTCTGATTAATTGCAGCCTGGGGCTCAGCAGCAGGGGTCTGAATCCCTTCCCAGTCACTGGAGTAGCCAGACTTGACCTCTGTTGGTGGAGCAATGGAGGATGCCATGCCTACTTGTTGAATAAGAAGGCTGCTGTGAAACATACTACATGAGTTGGTGCATATGTCACAGATGCAACTCTGCCAACAGGAAGACCCTCAGGGGCTGACTGCCATCTGCTGAAAGGCAAGCAGGGATGGATGGATAGATAGATGGATGGTATCTGACCTCTGATTCCTTCCAGGGTTAGATTTTTGGAGAGTGATGTTCAGGAGCCTGGGGAAACCATCATTCCAGGAACAGCTGGCCGAACTGGCACCATGGAGCAATTGATGGCCTTCAAGTGCAGAGATTAAGTTTAGGCCAGGAAAAGAGGCACAGGTCTGGGATACAGGGCAGTGATTCAAAGATAATGGATATGAGCTAACTGAGGAGAAGGAAAAGAACTGTACAATATGTGAGGGATATTGATGGTGGAGGATTCCATTGTGCGGTTCCCAATAAATGCACACAGTTCAACTCTAAGGCCTGATCTTTCCCGTAAGACTGGAGAGTACTGGGAGATACACTAATCTCTCAGAATAGCAGAAAACAGGTGCCTTGCTTCCTGGATTATCCAGGAACAAACTCAGGGGCAAACTCATCAGAAATGACATAAAGAAAGCACAGAGAATTAGGAGCTATGCAACTTATATATGCTAATGTATGCTGACTGCCTACTATATGTTTTGAGCTGCTTTTTGATGTATTCATTAGCTTCCTAGATGGGGTTCTAATAAATCACATACATATTATACATTGATCTATAGTCTATATCACATTAAAAATCAGCTCACTTAATTAAAGCAGCAATTGTGTGAGGTTATAATCATATTATTTTCATTATCTCATTTTAAAAATGAAGATATTGAAGCACAGATAGTCAAGTGACGTGCCTGAGGTCACACCACTGCTCTGGGCTAGAGTACTATTCACACTGCTGTCTTGGTGGCTGTGACAGTGACTGACCTCCTGCCTTCCAGGTGTCCCATATCCTGTTGCTGAGCCCCAAGAGTCCAATGGAAGGGGTAGCCTATATGCAAGCAGTCCTGCCCACATGGGAGAGTGATGAGCAACTGGCTTATCGAGGTCAACCATGTGCTCTCTCCTGGAAATTCAGAATGGAGCCATGAAGTGAGCAAATAATGATGGAATATAATGTACAGTTTGGTAAAGAGTGCTAAGAGTTGACAACCAGGTCAGACACAGCTGTATATACTCAAAATTCCTGGGGAAGAAGAAGCTATGAGCCTGCTCAGAAGAGTGAAAGGATGAGCATTTTCCCAGGGTAGAAGAGAGGCCAAAGACATCTTGTGGCATTCAGTAGGTGGAAGTGGTAGCTTCACTGTCTGATTCTCAATCAGATAGCTCTGTGTCCTGGCTACAAATATGCTTCCTGTCTTTGAGGGTCATGTAATCGATCATGTCAAAAATCAATATTGACTAGTTTCCTTTTTGGTTTAATTAAAACAATCCTTCCCTAAGAGATGAGCCCCTTTATAAATGGAGATTATACCTGAGTTAATGTGTCTGTCTGAGATTAAAACTGTTAGGAAATAATAACGATGGTAATGATAATTACTTGAATGTTTACCAGGTAACAAGCACTGTGCTTATACTTTATATGTATTATCTAAGTTAATTCTCATGATAAGCCTATAAAGTATGTATGATTGTTATTCCTGTTTTAAAGAAGAGGAAATTGGGGTTTACAGAGGTTAAGTAATTCATTTGTTCATTCCACAAGCATTTATTGAGTGTCTGCTATATTTCAGTCACTTTTCTAGGAGTTTGAACACGTCAGCAAACAAAATAGACAGAGATCACTTTGCCTTCATGGAAAGTATGTTCCAGTAGGGAAAACAGGAAACAAATAATAACCATGGCAAATTAGTAAGTTAGATATGGTATTAGATAGCAAACAGTGCCATGGGAGTGAAATAAGAGATCTGGGTGGAGGCTACCTGTAGACACAGGGTGGACGGGAGTGATGGATTGTGATTTTAAATAGAGACATCAGGGTGTGCTTCATTAAGATAGTTATATTTCAGCAGAGGCTTCAAGGAGATGAAGGAAAGAACCATGGGGGTATCTGGGAGAAGAAGATTCCAGGCAGGGGAAATAGCAAAGGCAAAGGCCCCAAGGCAGGATCAACAGCACAGAGGCCAGTGTAGGTGGAGCAGAAAGGCTGATGGAAAGAGAGGGAAAGAGGCCAGAGAAGTAACAGGACCAGGTCACAGGACCTTGAAGGCCATCATAAGGACTTATTTATTTATTTATTTATTTATTTATTTATTTATGACAGAGTCTCACTCTATTGCCCAGGCTGGAGTACAGTGGCATGATCTCAGCACACTGCAACCTCCACCTCCCGAGTTCAAGCGATTCTTGTGCCTCAGCCTCCTGAGTAGCTAGGATTACAGGCACGTGCCACCACTCCTGGCTAATTTTTGTATTTTTAGTAGAGACAGGTATTTACCATGTTGGCCAGGCTGGTCTCAAACTCCTGACCTCAGGTGATCTGCCGGCCTTGGCCTACCAAAGTGCTAGGATTACAGGCATGAGCCACTGTGCCTGGCCAGAACTCTTTTTTTCGGTTTGTTTTTGAGACGGAGTCTCACTCTGTCACTAGGCTGGAGTGCAGTGGTACAATCTCGGCTTACTGTAACCTCCGCCTCCTGGGTTCAAGCAATTCTACCTCAACCTCCCGAGTAGCTGGGACTACAGGCATGCGCCACCACGTCTAGCTAATTTTTATATTTTTAGTAGAGATGGGGTTTCACCACGTTGGCCAGGATAGTCTCGATCTCTTGACCTGGTGATCCACCCATCTCAGCCTCCCAAAGTGCTGGGATTACAGGCGTGAGGCATTGTGCCTGGCCAGGACATTTTAGTTGAATGAAATTGAGACCTATCAGAGAGTTTTTATCACATGCATAACTTCATCTGACTGAACCTCTTAGAAGGACTACTCTGAGAAGAGTCAAAACCCTAATCTGTAAGGCCATACAAGTGTAAGGGCCAGAATTGAAGCTGATTTTCTTCCTAAGTTTTATGCTATGTCCCCTCTGGCTCTAAATGTTCTGGAGCAATGAAAGGCTATTTCAAGTCTTTTTCCTTTCAATATGGTCTAGTAGTTTCTGTCTTTGCTCTGACATGAGAAGTCTCAATAGACATTTTATAGTATTGTTTTCACAATTCAAAAAATAATAATGAATATCAGTTAATATTGATGAGGCATAAGGTTTTACTATTTGCCTTGCACTGAACTAAGATTATAAATGTACCTTCTCATTCAATCCCCACAATGAAGCTCTGAGGCAGTCGTACAACTGTGATCCTGCTGTGCAGACAAGGATCTGAGACTTGGCAAGTTTCCTCACTCACCCTGATTCCCAGGGAACTCAACCACTTAAAAATTACCCAGAAGACCTGCCTTGGGATAGGAATAACCCTTCAAGCCACTCCTCACTGAAAAGTCTGCAAGTCCGTAAGACAGGGAACCAAGTCACACACTTCTTTTTAGTAACCTCTGTTCCTGGGACAGTGTCCTGCACATAGAAAATATCAACATATTTATGTTGAATGATTGATTTATGTTAAGAACAACTTCTAGCCATGTTAAAACAGATCTCAGAAGCACCACATATTTCCTTAGAAGGTCATTCTAATTCCATTACAATCCACAGAGCAGTGTGTTCAATATGGAATTCCTAGATGCCATGAGATAATGAAATTTCAAGTGGGTAATGAATTTACTTTTGCCAACCCACTAACGCATACTAGGTGGACTCAAATCACAACTCAGCCACTCCCTTCCATAAGTTATTTACCCAATCTGGGCCTCATTTTCTTCACTTGTATATAGAAATACTACTAAGGTTGCTGTGATTATTAAATGATCCGATGAATGCAATTTATCTATACAATGGGCTGGACACAGTGGCTCATGTCTCTAATCCCTGCACTTTGGGAGATTGAGATGGGTGGATCACTTAAGGCCAGGAGTTTGAGACAAGCCTGGCCAACATGGCAAAACCCAGTCTCTGATAAAAATACATAAATTAGCCAGGTATGGTGGCACCTGCCTGTAATCTCAGCTACTTGGAAGGCTGAGGCACAAGAATCGCTTGAACCTGGGAGGCAGAAGCTGCAGTGAGCCGAGATCGTGCCACGACACTCCAGCCTGGATGCGACAGAGTAAGACTCTCTTTAAAAAGAAAAACAAAAACCACAATGCCTCGTCTATTGTAGGTGCTCAAGAAATGTTACCTTTTATTACAGGGTAAGTTTAGAATTTCTTTTCTTAGCCCAGAGATGCTGAAGTAGATTTGAGTCAGACAGAGGTAAACTTTGCTGGGAGACAGAAAATCCACTGTCTTCTAGGCCTTCAGAAATATGTGCTATAAAGGTGCTGTATGATGGTGTAGCATCTGCCACTTGCCAGTTTCTGTAGTGTAAATACCTCCACCATGTTCAATTTCAAGTTACCAAGGTGATGTCACTTAACGTGGAGTTGGGAAGATGTGTGCACAATTGACTCTCACCGACTCTGTTCCAACTACTCCATTCACCACTATTTTCCCTCCATGCTGGCCTCCTTTTTCCAGCTCGGAATGTGCCATCAGCCCAACAGGTACAGGCTTAGTCCCCTCTTTGCTCCATATAGAGACTTATCTTTACTACCTGCATAAACGAGGTGATTCTTACTTTATTTTTAAAAGCATTTATAAAATGCTCCAGTCTAGGCACTTCACATATATTAACTCATTTGCTCATCCTTTGAGATTATGAGACTATTACTCCTACTTGATGGAAGAAGAAACCGAAAGCCAAAGAGGTTAAGTAACTTGCCTAGGGTCACACAGCTAGTAAATGGCAGAGCCAAAATTCAAATTAAGTGGCTTGGCTCTGAGTTCATTCTCATATCCACTCTCCTGGCCAGACACAGAACTGTGGTGGGTCTGAGCCAGGTCATTGCCCAGAAAGAAAAGCTAGAGAATCCTACTGGTCACTCTCAAACCCCTTTGCTGGGCTAGGACCAGCCTAGCAGTATTTTTGCTGCATGTTTCCTACTTCTGTAAACTCATTCTATTCTGAGTTGGTTGTATGCCAGTCAGCATTAGCAGGAGCCTAGAAAGTGCCTCATTCTCTTCTCCTTTTGGGGAACTTATCTGATCACTGTATCAATCCTCCTCTATGAGTACAGGAGTGAAGACACTGCGGGGAGCCAGCAGCCAAGTGCTGCACTGTGACAAGAGAGCCTGGGGTGCCTGGGACTGAGGCTCTTTGATAAATATTGCTTTTGCATTTCCCATAGAAGGTGCAATTCCCAAGTCTTCCTGAGCTCGCCTTTCATAGGCCGGAGCAGCACCCCTGCTACGTCTGGGACTAGGTTTCCAAAGGTTGTTCTGGCAGCCAGAGCACAACAGCTGCTCAGCAATGAGATGATCCCGCAGCCCCAGAGGAGGAGGGGTACGGTGAGCCCTGCTGCCCTGTGCCAAGCCCAGCACCCACCAGCTGCCTCTCTTCTGCTTCCATTGGAGCAGGAAAGCATTAACCCTATCAGCACCAGTGGGCAAAGGCTTGGAAGAGGAGCAGGGTTTCTGGAGGTTAAGTTGCTTGTAATCACATAGCTAGGAGCTCAGATTCATCCACACCCTTTTCACTCCTAGAATGTTTAACTTTTGTTCTGTCTTCTCTGGTCATGAAGCCACTCTGCTGAGCATTCTTTTCTCATCTTGTTTCGATACTATTCTTCCTTTTCTTTTAGCCAGCAGCCTGCAAGCCATAGTCATTTGCAATGCAGTCTAACCAGTAAGTTATAAAAAAAGAAAAAAACACACATAATAGCAAGTTAAGTGGATTCTAACATTTAGAGGAATCTATAATGATTAGAAAGCCCCTTATTATGTCACTTCTCTATCTTCACATGGAGTCATTAGCATTCTTGGCCACCACAAAGCATGAGCAGAAACTCAGTGAAACTCCTGCTGCTTGACAGAGAGAGGAATGCTTCATCCCAGATATTCATACTATACCAAAGGATGGAATGGAGACTTCTGGATTCCTACCTCCGAGATCCAGTGCGACATAAGCCATTTGGGGCGGGGCCTGGATCCCTAAGGACAAGAAGCTTTTAAGCCAAGCAGAAAACAAACAAAACAAAACACAACACAGACACAGATGCAGACATGAATAAATAAAGCAGACAAATCCACATATGGGAAGGCTCCCCATCCTGTTCCCGGGAGGCAGGCTCCCTGAGGCCTTACAGATGTCGGAGCAGAATCTACTTACATGTTCCAAATTGTGCATACCCAGTGCCCACTGTTACTCTCAGAAAATTGGAGTGGAAAAGGAGAAACATCTTTCACTTGAAAAACAAAAGACGTCCCCCACCCAAATACCAACATGGCTGTGATTTCACCATCATTACACTGAGATTTGCCCCAGTGGGGCTTTTTAATAATTATTCCAGCTGTTGGCTGAGTTGAGAATTTGCACAGCCTCAGTGGAGGTATAACCAGGCTGGCCTGGTCCCGGGCCATAAAGAGAAGTGACATAAGACTAAATTACCTAGTGGGTTTGGGGGAAGTGGGGAAAGAGACAGATAATTAATCAGGAATCGACAAGATGTCTTCAAAAACCTGTGTCTCGGCCTTTATGAAGTCCTTGTTCACACAATCTTGGAGAATATACATTTATAAATATAAGCAGCACTGATTTTTCAAATAATTGCCAGCTGTTAGTTTTCTAAAATTAATTGCAATTTTTAATGGCAAAAAAATTAGGTTTATTTGGTAGGAAAATAGGAAGTTTTTTTTTTTTTTTGAGACGGAATCTCGCTCTGTTGCCCAGGCTGTAGTGCAGTGGCATAATCTCAGCTCACTGTAACCTCCACCTCCCAGGTTCAAGTGATTCTCCTGCCTCAGCCTCTTGAGTAGCTGGGATTACAGGTGCATGCCATCACATCCAGCTAATTTTTGTATTTTTAGTAGAGACGGGGTTTCACCATGTTGGCCAGGCTGGTCTCGAACTCCTGACCTCATGCTCCACCCACCTTGGCCTCCCAAAGTGCTGGGATTACAGGCATGAACCACCACACCCAGCCAAAAAAAGGAAGTTTATAAAAGAGAAAAATATATTTTTCTGCACAATGATGATTTGATATTTGTGTTTTCCATTGAGTTTGTATGTATGTGAACATATACTGTAAATAATTGTAAATGCAATTTGTATTCTATATTTCATTGCCTTTTTCATTCATTTTACTTCACAGTTTACATATTTTTCACCTATTTGGAGTCTTCAGAGTGACCAGTGTTTAATTGATACATATTTTTCCAGTTAGTGAAAATTCCACCATTCCAGCCATTCTCTTGTAATCAAATTTTTAGGTTCTGTCCGTGAACCATATGTTCTTATGAATTCAAGTTTTGGTTCTGGTGAATTATTTTCTTGGGACAAATTCCATTGAGAAAAATGACTGAATAAAATAAAACTAATTCTGTGACTTTTGTTACATGTTGTCATGCTGCTTCCCATAAAGGCTTGCATGGGTTTTAAAGCAAGGTCACCATAAGAATAAATAGACAAAACTTATAAAAATTTTGTCAGCTCTGGACATCACTGTTTTTTTAAATTTGTTTTTATTTTAGGCACATTTAAAATCTTCTCCAGTTCTTACTCTTTATGATATCGAATATGATACTCATTAAAATAATTTTTTAAAAAAACAACTTTCATTACATTTTACTCTAGGAAAACAAATCCACTTTATTTTAGAAATTCCAAAGAATTCCATCCAGATACAATGTAATTCATACCAAGCTGGAAGAGGGTGCTTGAAATTAAAGACTATATTTTCTGGTAGGGTGGGGCGTAATGCCACTTGTTAAAAGATAATTGCTGTGTTGTAAAACGTCAGCTAGGCACTTCTGAAGAACAGACCCCTTAATCTGAAGAGACCGGGCGTGGTTCTCTAAATGTGGAAACATTTTCAAAAAAAATCAACAAAAGAACATCTCTCTGGCTGCTTGGGGTTGCTTTCTCAAAGGCAGACTATGATTCTGGCAAGATAATGAGACTTAGAGTTTTAGGGCCCCGGATACTCTATATACATACCACCATTAAAGCTACTGCTTCTTCTGCTAATAATATTAATAATAATAATAGTTACTCTAGAGAGATAAGAAAAACCCAAAGTGTTTTTTTCCTATTCACATTCACCACTCAACACAACACTTCTGATATTAGATGTGTGGAGTTCTGGGGGGAAAAATACATCAACCAAGCAATTTTGCATAGACTCCCAAGTGGGTGTCTTCTAATTCAAGTCAATTTTGACACTATATACCCAGAGATACCATCAAATCCCACAAGCGTGGGCTCAGTCAGTCCCACAAGATTGATCCCCACTTCAGATTCCAGTCACACATAGTAGGTTTTCACCTATATTTCTGACCCATCAGCTATAAGTTGGGGGTTCGTTCCCATGACCCCCTTCTCAGGCTTGGTTAATTTGCTAGAGCAACTCTCAGAACTCAGGGAAACATTTGACTTATGTTTACACATTTGTTATAAAAGCTATTAGAAAGGATACAGGTGAGCAACCAGATGGGAGGGATGCACAGGGAGAGGTCTAGAAGAAGGGACATGGCTCCCCCATCCCCTCTCTAGGTGCCACCCTCTAGGCACCTCCATGTGTCCAGGTATCTGGGCAGCTGAACCATAGTTCAGGGATTTTTATGGAGGCTTCACCACACAGGCATGATCGACTATTAAGTCCATTTCTAGCCCCTTGCCTCCCTCTGGAGAATGGGAATGGAGGCTGTAAGCCCCAAACTTCTAATCCTGGCTTGGGCTTTCTGTTGAACAGCCCCCATCCAGGAGCCCAGAAATAGTACCCTCATTAGAAAGAAAATACTCCTATCACCCAGAAAACACCAAGGGATTTAAGAACTCTGTGTCAGGAACTGGGATCAAAGACAAAATACTAGAACAAAAGATTGTCCTAGCACCACTATTGCTTAGGAAATTATAAGAGTTTTAGAAGCTCTATGCCAAGAACTGTAGTCAGAGACCAAATATCTATTTCTTATTATATTACAATATCATAGCTAATATTTATTGAGTTCTCACTATATGCTAAAGAGTGTGCTAAGCACTCCAGTATAAATGATCTCACTTAGTCCTCATAACATTATTATGCTCACTTGAAGAGTGATGAAACAAAAGCACATAGGCTTAGAAACTTGCTCGGGCCACACAGCCCATTCATGGACACAAACCTAGGATATATGAAAATAGGCTTTGATTTCCGCAGCCACACTGTGGTTTATCTCTTTTGGTAAACTTTCAGTTAATAGCTCCATTTTTACTTCCCCAGAAACTTGTAACAAATCCATATGTTGGGGATAAGGTGGAGTGCCATGGTGTCTTATACACATCCTCCATCTTTATTAGCCAACTGTGAACTTAGCACCAGCCCTGGGCATCTCAGGCGTGTCCTCTGTCAAAAGGAGACTTCATTCACCTGGGCATTCCTTCAGTCTCTGGGGCAGGTTTTGGCTCCTTTCTCCATTTGAAATTATTTGACTTGGTATCCAATTTTAAGTTTAAAGCTTTCTTTTCATTGACTCTTTCAGAAAAGCCATCGGATCCCTTTGCGAAAGGAAAAACTTCTAGTGGCTCAACTGAGCATACTTGGTTTCTTCCCAATAGCACGTTTATGAGAGTGTCTTCCTGAGAGCTTCATGATAAATACTATCATCAAATAGTAGCCAAGGACTAAGGTCCAATTCAAACTCTACCCTTCCACCAACTGGCCCACATGAGCATATGTTCCTGGTACAGCACTAACCTTAGAACAATCATTTATCTAACCATTTATCTCTCTTTCCATTTCCTGGCCATAAGAGTATGAGAAGTCATGCTATATTTTTAGGAAATGTTACAAATATATTTATTAGACTAAGGAAGTTCTTGAATAAAGCCATCACAACTTATGTTGGATGAAAATGTAAGAGAACATGTCAAATATATCAAGTTCAATACACTTTTAGTTTTGTTTTGTTTCATTCTTTTTCCAGATAAATGAAAATTTAGAAATTTATTACATCAGAGCTACAATTCAAGGGCCTGTGGAAGATAACTTTTCCCACCAAGTGCTTATTTCAGTCAAATGTACATGACCATAACATTATACTTTAAAAGGCCAAAGAAAAAATAACTTAATTTCCTCGTACCAGTATTTTTCAATATGGGGTCAGTGCAGCAAAATTCATTGGGTATCTGGCTAAGTGCCAATTCCTGGTCTTATTCCAGGCATATCAAAGCAGAATTTCTGGAATGGAGGCTTAAGAACCTTAGATTTTGTTTCCCTTAGTTAATCTTATTGACCATTATTCACTGCTCTAGCATCTCCCCTCATGTTGCAGGCTCAGAGGAACTGCATACAAAACTCAAGTGCCAGAAACAATGGAAGCTGACCTGGTATCAATGCTTCTCCTAAAATGTGGGAAGATTTCTGCCCCACTCTAGGCCCTTCTGTCTTTCCAACACTTTCTGTAAAATTCACGTAAGTCAGGAGAATTTCTGAGTAGATTAACTATGACACAAAAGACTTCTAGGTGGCCGAACCTACCATAGAATAAATGATTTTATGAAACATTTTATGAATGATCTCAAACACCCCTGCTGATCCTCTCTAGGAATGAAAATGAAGGGATGATAAGAATTTAACCAGTAGTCCTGAGAGAACCACTGCTGACAGAGAGATGCAGGGTGGAAGAGAGGTTAGATAAAATTTTAAAAACACCTGCCTGACTCTGTGGAAGGAACAGCAAGTCACTTCTAATCCCTGGAGTTATGCTGCCTCATAGGGAAGTAGAGTTGGATTTTAAATGAGAATTTTATGAGACATTCTTGATCTCATATATTCTATACTAGGACCCCTTTATTGTACTAAGGCCTATTAGGTCATGGGTACCAATTATTTGTTTAGAAAACATCACCACAGTAATTACAAGAGATCCTTGAGCTCTTTGATTTGTTCGGGCTTTGTTTTAGAGGGATGCGAGGCAAGAACATTATTGTAATTCCTTAAGTGAGAAATCCTGCCTTTCTTCTATGCATCTAGTTTCCAATCCCATTGTAAGGATGTGAAATAATCAAAATCAACAGCACCTTTGATTAGTCACTCATTTATCCTTGAATTCACTCATTTGCCAAATTCTTATTGATTACCTCCTATATGGATCACAAAAATTCTCCTCATTGTTGGGGAAAAAAATGTAACCAACAGGTGCAGTCCCTGCCTACATGGAGCGTATGGTCTGAAGAGGGAGTATATAAGTAAATAGGCAAATTTAATATGGAATGAGTGCTATGATAGGATTAAGTCTCAATGAAAGGGAGCCAACTATGAGAACAAAGAAAGGGAGAGCTAGAGACAGGAGACTTGTCAGGGGTCTTTGGCAACCATCCAGGTGAGAGTGGCACCAGTGAGCATGAAGAACCATTGATTTCCTTTGATGTTTTTTTGCTCATTTTTCTTTCTAAATATTGGAGATTAGGCAGAGCCTAATCACTCACCTCTGTTAATGGCTTCTAACCAATTAATCAGTGTACATAAGCCAGATGTGAACCAAAATACATCATGCGCTAGTAAAGCTGGGCTTCCTCTCTTTCACTCCAGTTTGAACTTATCCACTCAGCTCTAGGGCAGGCAGTCAAAAACAGAAGGAGTCTTCTAAAGAGGAGTCACATCCAACCCTGTATTATGGCCACAGTTTTCCATGCCCCCTGTGTTCATGCACCTTGGTTGTGTCCTCATAGAAGACTCTGGGCTTGGCCTTACATTCTGCATTGACCAACAGGATGTGCAGGAAATGACATTGGATCTGCACGCAGCCGCAGGAAGACTTGTGCTCTTTTTTTTAACACTCCTTTGAAACCTCAGGTACTTTGTAAAGAAGCCTGGGCTACATTGGTGGAGGATAAGAAACCAAGAGGAAAAGAGCCAAGTTGTCCTATCCAAGGTCATCCCAACCATGTGAAACAGTCCAGCCAAGATGAGAAGAGGTGTTTACCACAGTTGGCAACCAATGTATCAGTGAGCAGAGATGAAATCAGAAGATCCATCTACTTGACCCATATACTTGTGAATGATAAATGCTATTGTTTTAAGCCACTGAGTTTTGATGTGGTTTGTCACACAGCAATATCTAGATGATATATTTCCTGAGATCTAAGAGATTCAAGATACAGAGACAAGACAAAGAAGAACTGGTACTGCTATTTTATGACTGTAACTTTGTGGCTTATATTACTATGGCCAAGTTCCCATAAGGTTCTCTCTGGTTTAATCAACCATCAAAAAGAATAAAAGAAATCAGAGAGAGAGAGGTCACATATTTCCTCTGACACTTCTTGAGCCAGGATCTGAAAAAAGTCTTACCTGGAGGAAGAACTTCTTTCTTCTGTGTACCTAAGTCATTCACCACCATAATTGCATTCTTAGTCTCCTTGTGAATAACCCATTAACTCAGATAAACCACTCTTTAGTGAATATAATAAACTCATTTAAGAGCTGTGCATTGGCTAGGACAAAAAGAAAAAAAATAACAATAACACAGAAAGTTAACCAAAGCTTAACTAACAGACTTTTCATCTTATTTCTTTATTTCTCTCCTAAAACAGTACCCATGCTTGAGTGTAACAAAATATATGTAAAAACAAGCTGTCAGGCTTCTGACACAGTAGATGCCTAGAGGCAAATATTTCTGCTAAAAGTTTTGATGGAGCCCTGGGGAGAGGAGGAAAGGGTCCCAAGCTGAGAGGGATTGGCAGCTGGCTGGGAGCGCAACCTGACGCTCCCTTCCCATTTCACAAAGAAGGTTTTGTTTGGATTGTGGGGCATGGTGAGTGACTCCTTAGCACCATGGGGTTATGCTGGGTCCTGGGGGAACATCTGGGCTGCCATTTCAAGCAAGGCTGAAACTCTATCCTGGCCAGAGCTGCTCCAATGAATCAGGTGTAGGTGTATTTTTCCAGGATGTTCAAAACCACATCTTACCCAGAGAAACAGGGTTTTGTCCATAGAAGCCTCATTCTAAAGGGCAAGCAATCTTCCTTGGTCCCCATGAAGGGTATGTTTACTGAGGCTTCATGCCCAAAGAATCAAATCCAATAACTGAAAGTATGACCTCCACACATGCTTTTCAAAGTATGTTAGGAACCCTCACCAATAAAATCTCTATTCTCACTCCATGCCATTCCCACCTTGTGTTTATAACACAGTTTCAAAAGATCGATCCCTCATTTGGAGCTGAAAGGTTGCATTTTTTTTATTTTAAGTTCTGGGATACAAGTGAAGAACATGTATGTTTGTTACATAGATATACATGTGCCATGGTGGTTTGCTGTGCCTATCAACCCATCATCTTGGTTTTTAAGCCCCACTTGCATTAGCTATTTGTCCTAATGCTCTCCCTCCCCTCGCCCTCCACCTCCCAACTGGCCCCAGTGTGTGTTGTTCCCCTCCCTATGTCCATGTGTTCTCATTATTCAACTCCAACTTATGAGTGAGAACATGCAGTGTTTGGTTTTTTATTTCTATATTAGTTTGCTGAAGATGATGACATTCAGCTTCATCCATGTCCCTGCAAAAGACATGATCTCATTCTTTTTTATGGCTGCATAGTATTTCATGGTGTATATGTACCACATTTTCTTTATCCGATCTATCACTGATGGGCATTTGGGTCCGTTCCGTGTCTTTGCTATTGTAAATAGTGCTGCAATAAATATACATATGCAAGTGTCTTTATAGTAGAAAGATTTATATTCCTTTGGGTAAATACACAGTAAAGGGATTGCTGGGTCAAATGGTATTTCTGATTCTAGATCCTTGAGGAATTGTCACACCATCTTCCACAATGGTTGAACTAATTTACATTCCCACCAAAAGTGTAAAAGCATTCCTATTTCTCCACAGCCTCACCAGCAGCTATTGTTTCTTGACTTTTTAATAATCACCATTCTGACCGGCATGAGATGGTATCTCATCATGGTTTTGATTTGCATTTCTCTAATATCAGTTATGTTGAGCTTTTTTTCATATGTTTGTCGGCTGCATAAATGTCTTCTTTTGAGAAATGTCTGTTCATATCCTTTGCCCATTTTTTGATGGGGTTGTTTGTTTTTTCTCGTAAATTTGTTTGATTCTGGATACTAGACCTTTGTCAGAGGGGTAGATTGCAAAATTTTTCTCCCATTCTGTAGGTTGCATGTTCACTCTGATGCTAGTTTCTTTTGCTGTGCAGAAGCTCTTTAGTTTAATTAGATCCCATTTGTCAATTTTCGCTTTTGTTGCAATTGCTTTTGGCATCTTCGTCATGAAATCTTTGCCCATGCCTATGTCCTGAATGGTATTGCCTAGGTTTTCTTCTAGGGTTTTTATGGCTTTGGTTTTTACATTTATGTCTCTAATCCATCTTGAGTTAATTTTTGTATAAGGTGTGAGGAAGGGGTCCAGTTTCAGTTTTCTGAATATGGCTAGCCAGTTTTCCCAGCACCATTTATTAAATAGGGAATTTTTTCCCCATTGCTTGTTTACCAAAGATCAGATGGTTGTAGATGTGTGGTGTTATTTCTGAGGTCTCTGTTCTGTTACATTGGTCTATATGCCTGTTTTGGTATCAGTACCATGCTGTTTTGGTTATTGTAGTCTTGTGGCATAGTTTGAAGTCAGGTAGCTTGATGCCTCCAGCTTTGTTCTTTTTGCTTAGAATTGTCTTGGCTATACATGCTCTTTTTTGGTCCCCTGTGAAATTTAAAGTAGTTTTTTATAATTCTGTGAAGACTGTCAATGGTAGTTTGATGGGAATAGCATTGAATCTATAAATTACTTTGGCCAGTATGGCCATTTTCATGATATTGCTTCTTCCTAGTTATGAGGATGGAATGTTTTTCCATTTGTTTGTGTCCTCTCTTATTTTCTTGAGCAGTGGTTTCCAGCTCTCCTTGAAGAGGTCCTTCACATCTCTTGTTAGCTCTATTCCTAGGTATTTTATTCTCTTTGTGGCAATCGTGAATGGGAGTTCACTCACGATTTGGCTCTCTGCTTGTCTATTGTTGGTGAATAGGTATCCTTGTGATTTTTGCACATTGATTTTGTATCCTGAGACTACACTGAAGCTGCTTATCAGCTTAAGGAGTTTTTTGGCTGAGACTATGGAGTTTTCTAAATATAGAAACAGGTCATCTGCAAATAGAGACAATTTGACTTCCTCTCTTCCTATTTAAACACTTTTTCTCTTGCCTTATTGGCCTGGCCAGAACTTCCAATACTATGTTGAATAGGAGTAGTGAGAGAGGTTATCCTTGTCTTGTGCCAGTTTTTTAAGGGAATGCTTCCAGCTCTTGCCCATTCAGTATGATATTGGCTGTGGGTTGCCATAAATAGCTCTTATTATTTTGAGATATATTCCATCAATACTTAGTTTATTGAGAGCTTTTAACATGAAGCCATGTTGAATTTTATTGAAGGCCTTTTCTGCATCTATTGAGATGATTATGGGGTTTTTGTCACTGGTTCTGTTTATGTGATGGATTACATTTATTGATTTGCATATATTGAACCAGCCTTGCATCCCAGGGATGAAGCCAACTTGATTATGGTGAATAAGCTTTTTGATGTGGTGGTAGATTCAGTTTGCCAGTATTTTATTGAGGATTTTTGCATCAATGTTCATCAGGGATATTGGCCTGAAGTGTTCATTTTTGTTGTTGTGTCTCTGCCAGGTTTTGGTATCAGGATGAAGCTGGCCTCATAAAATGAGTTAGGGAAGATTCCTTCTTTTTCTATTGATTGGATAGTTTCAGAAGAAATGGTACCAGTTTCTCTTTGTACCTCTGGCTGAATTCAACTGTGAATCTCTCTGGTCCTGGGCTTTTCTTTAGTTGGTAGGATATTAATTACTGCCTCAATTTCAGAACTTGTTATTTGTCTATTCAGGTATTTGACTTCTTCCTGGTTTAGTGTGGGAGGGTGTATGTGTCCATGAATGTATCTATTTCTTCTAGATTTTCTAGTTTATTTGCATAGAGGTGTTTATAGTATTCTCTGATTGTAGTTTGTATTTCTATGGTGTCAGTGGCGATATCCCCTTTATCATTGTTTATTGTGTTTATTTGATTCTTCTCTCTTTTCTTGTTTATTAGTCTAGCTAGCAATCTATCTATTTTGTTAATTTTTTCAAAAAACCAACTTCAGGGTTCATTTATTTTTTGAAGGATTTTTTGTGTCTCTGTCTCCTTCGGTTCTGCTCTAATCTTAGCTATTTCTTGTCTTCTGCTAGCTTTTGGATTTGTTTGCTCTTGCTTCTCTAGCTCTTTTAATTGTAATGTTAGGGAATTGATTTGAGATAGTTCTAGCTTTCTTATGTGAGCATTTAATGCTACAAATTTCCCTCTTAACACTGCTTTAGCTCTGTCCCAGAGATTCTGGTATGTTGTCTCTTTGTTCTCATTGATTTCAAAGAACTTCTTGATTTCCTCCTTAATTTCATCATTTACCTAGGAGTCATTCAGGAGCAGGTTGTTCAATTTCCATGTAGTTGTGTGGTTTTGAGTGAGTTTCTCAATCCGAGTTCTAATTTTACTGCACTGTGGTCTGAGAGATTGTTTGTTATGATTTCAGTTCTTTTGCATTTGCTAAGGAGTGTTTTACTTCCAATTATGTGGTCAATTTTAGAATAAGTGCCATGTGGCACTGAGAAGAAAGTATATTCTGTTGACTTTGGGTGGAGAGGTCTGTAGAAATCTACTAGGTTCACTTGATCCAGAGCTGAGTTCAAGTCCTGAATATCTTCGTTAATTTTCTCTCTTGTTGATCTGTCTAATATTGACAGTGGGGTGTAAAAGTCTCCCACTATTATTGTGTGAGAGTCTAAGTCTCTTTGTAGGTCTCTAAGAATTTGCTTTATGAATCTGGGTTCTCCTGAATTGAGTGTATGCATATTTAGGATAGTTAGCTATTTTTGTTGAATTGATCCCTTTACCATTATATAATGCTCTTCTTTGTCTTTTTTGATCTTTGTTGGTTAAAGTCTGTTTTGTCAGAGACTAGGATTACAACCCCTGCTTTTTTTTTTTTGCTTTCCACTTGCTTGGTATATTTTCCTTCATCTCTTTATTTTGAGCCTATGTGTATCTTTGCACATGAGATGGGTCTCCTGAATACAACACACTGATGGGTCTTCACTCTTTATCTAATTTTCCAGTCTGTGTCTTTTAATTGGGGCATTTATCCCATTTACATTTCAGGTTAATATTGTTATGTGTGAACTTGATTCTGTCATCATGATGCTATCTGGTTATTTTGCACACTAGTTGATGCATTTTCTTCATGCTGTTGTTGGTCTTTATATTTTGGTGTGTTTTTTCAGTGGCTGCTACCAGCTTTTCCTTTCCATATTTAGTGCTTCCTTCAGGAGCTCTCGCAAGGCAGGCCTGGTGGTGACAAAATTCCTTAGCATTTGTTTATCTGGAGAAGATTTTATTTTTCCTTTGCTTATGAAGCTTAGTTTGGTTGAATATGAAATTCTGGGTTGAAAATTCTTTTCTTTAAGAATTTTGAATATTGGCCACCACTCACTTCTGACTTAGAGTTTCTGCTGAGATGTCTGCAGTTAGTCTGATGGGCTTCCCTTTGTAGGTTACCTGGCCTTTCTCTCTGGCTGCCCTTAACATTTTTTCCTTCATTTCAACCTTGGAAAATCTGAGGATTAGGTTTCTTGGGGTTGATCTTCTCGTGGAGTATCTTAGTGGTGTTCTCTGTATTTCCTGAAGTTGAATTTGGCCTATCTTGCTATGTTGGGGAAGTTCTTCTGGAAAATATCCTGAAGTATGTTTTCCAACTTGGTTTCATTCTCCCCATCTCTTTCAGGTACTATAATCAATCATAGGTTCGGTCTTTTTACATAGTCTCATACTTCTTGGAGGTTTTGTTAGTTCCTTTTCATTTTTTTTTCTCTAATCTTATCTGCATGCCTTATTTCAGCCAGATGGTTTTCAAACTCTGATACTCTTTCTTCCAGTTGGTCGATTCAGCTATGCTTCACGAAGTTCTTGTGCTCTGTATTTCAGCTCCATCAGTTCATTTATGTTCCTCTCTAACTTGGTTATTCTAGTTAGCAGCTCCTGTATCCTTTTATCAAGGTTTTTAGCTTCTTTGCATTGGGTTAGAGCATGTTATTTCAGCTCAGTGGAGTCTGTTATTACACAGCTTCTGAAGCCTCCTTCTGTTAATTCATCTATCTCATCTTCCGTCCAGTTTTACGTCCTTGCTGTAGAGGCATTGTGATCATTTGGAGGAAAAGAGGCACTCTGGCCTTTTGGGTTTTCAGTGTTTTTTTCGTTGATTCTTTCTCAGCTTTATGAGTTTGTCTAGTATCAATTTTTGTGGCTGCTGACTCTTGGATGAAGTTTTTGTGGGGACTTTTTTTGTTGAGGCTGTTGTTGCTTTCTGTTTGTTTTACTTGCAATGTGCAGGTCCCTCTTCTGTAGGGCTGCTGTTGTTCGCTGGGGGTTCACTTCAGATGCTATTCATCTGGCTCATTCCTGCACTGGGAGATGCCACAGGAGAAGGTTGGAGAACAGCAAAGATGATTGCCCGCTCCTTCCTCTGGGATCTCTGACCTCAAGGGGCACCAACATGATGCTAGTAGGAATGCTTTTGTATAGGGTGTCTGACCACCCCTCTTGGAGGGTCTCACCCAGTTGGGTGGCATGGGGAGCAAGACCTGCTTAATGTAGCACTTTGTCCCTCCATGGAAGGGGTGTGCTTTGCTGGGGGGAAACCCACTCGTCTGGGCTCCCTGGATTCCTCAGAACTAGCAGAAGGAAAGACTAAGTCTGCTGGTCTGTGGAGATTGCTGCCACCTCTTCCCCTAGGGGCTCAGGCCCAGGGAGATCAGAGTTCTGTCCCTGAGTCCCTGGCTGAAGTTGTTAAAGTTCCTGCAGGGAGTCCATGCTCAGTGAGGAGGGATGAGTCAGGTTTAGGGCCTGAAGAGGCACTCTGTCTGCAGTCTGCCACAGCTAGTGTGTTGGGCTTTGGGGGATACCTCTTGGTACTAAGCGGTCCAGCCTCCCTGGCTCCAGCAGGGGAAAAGCGGGGCCTGGAGCTTTAGAAATGTCTGCCGCCCTTCCCCTACCCTGGGAGCTTAGTGTGTTAGGCAGCTATCAGTCTCAGTGTTGGCTGTTGCCCCTCCCTGAAGGAGCTCAAATGGCTTACACAGCAAGCAGCCACAGCTGTGGTGCTGGTCACCCCTCCCCACTGGGACCTTGGCAAGCTTAAGCAGATTCTAGCTGAGTCGCTGTTGAGAATCTGCATGGCTCCGTGGCTGGGACCCTAGGCCCTGGTGGCATGAGCTCATGAGTGTGATCTTCTGATCCATGGATTGCACAGTTCTGTGGAAAAACCTGTTTTCCCAGGCTAGGTAGCATGCTCACTCACTGCCTCTCTTGCCTGGGGGCTGACTGCTCCCCTGCCCCATGTGGCTGTCAGATGATCCACTACACCACACTGGTCTTCTTTCCTCTCTGTGGATAATGCCAGCCGCTTAGTCAGTTCTGATGAGAGAACCTGGATACCTCGGTTGCTGGTGCAGGATTTGCAGACCATTACGGTTCTTTTCAATGGGAGCCTCTGATCGCATTGCTTCTAGTCCGCCATCTTGGCCCCATCCCTGTGAACTGCATTTTTAAACACCTGTTTTTTTCTACTCCAAGGACATTTTCCTTAACATTGTCAGATTCTCCACTTCTTATGCCACTTTGACATTGTTCTATTGCTAATAGTAACACTTCTATTCTTATCAGTATATGCATTTAAAAATCCCTTAATATTTAAAAAATTTTTACATGGATGAGCTTAACTTGATGCTGTTGATGAATCTGAAAAAACTTAAATGTTATTTCTGTATTCTGTGACATCTTAAGGTTGGTAGAGAAAGTGTGGTTGGTAAAGAAAGTGTTTTATTTTATTGTAAATTTGGTAACTGATTCACAGATTGAGATTGATCTAGGACCACATTCCGGAGTCTTAATGTGAGTCATTAAGAGTGGTTTATTGGTGGCTGGAAGATTGGCAGCCCAGGGGGAAAGGGCCAGGACAGCTGCCATGGGGAAGAGCAACAAAGAGGACGATGGGGAGATATCATGTAGAATATGGACCTGCACTCATCAGCAAAGAGCTCCAGCCAGATCTTGGAATAGCAGGCTAAACACAGACCAAAGACACAGTAACTAATTGAGCCTTCCTGCAAAGTATAATAATTGATGTAAAACTTGTTTAGGAGTGGCAATTTATGGGAAATACCAACATAAAACTAATTTTTACAAAACATGGAATATGGAGGTCAGATTATAACATTTATTGGTGAACTGATTCCAATTATTAACAAAATTAGAAGCTCCTAGGTGTATGCACATCTGAGTAGGTCAATTAACATCATACTTACCTCGTAACCTACTGTATTAGATGTCTGCTATTTGCTGCCCCCACATTTAGTTCTCTTCAAGTAATCATAGTGTCCTGATTCTACTTTGGGGATTAACCTCTTTTCCATTCCCGCTTTCGTAATTAGATAGCGAGGGACTCCAGCCTCAAATGTAGATGTGGGCTTATACTGGCTTAAGTCAATAAGATTAATTTTTTTATTGTTTTGTCTTGTTTTAATTTTTTTTGAGACACAGTCTTGTTCTGTTGCCCAGGCTGGAGTGGAGTGGCATGATCTCTCCTCACTGCAACCTCCCCCTACCAGGCTCAAGCCATTCCCCCACCTCAGCCTCCCAAGTAGCTGAGGACACAGGTTCACACCACCACTACCAGCTAATTTTTGTATTTTTTGTAGAGGCGGGGTTTCACCATGTTGCCCAAACTGATCTCAAACTCCTGAGCTCAGCCTCCCAAAGTTCTGGCATTACAGGTGTGAGCTGCCACACTTGGTCCAGATTTTTTTTTTTTTAATCACTGTGATTGGCTCAAAGTTGGAGATATAACAAAATCACTACCAATGAAGTTCTAAGGGGATATTTCATGTGACTTCTGGCAGGAAAGGACATTTCATTCACCCTTCCAACAAATATTTTCTGAACAAGCTGGGTGCCCAGTCATGGCTAGGATTAAGAGATATTAATGGAAAGAAAGCACACTCTCTACCCTCAAGGTACTCTCAACGGAGGACACAGAACTATGAGTAAATAATTAGAATAACTAGTGCTGTATCTGGGGTATCGATGGATTGCAATAAAAGCAAAAAGTGAGGGATTATCCTTAGTGTTCATGTTTGAAGAAAAGCTAGATGGGAAATCACTTCAATATGTAGAGACATCAGCAGAAATTTCCAAAAGGATATGGTGTGAGGCTTAGGGTTTTCTGGATTCCTATTGGCTTCAGACACTTTCTTCCTGGATCTTCTGATTTGTCAGATAGCTTGTGTCTGTCCTTGAGAGATCTCCATTTCTGATTAGGCCAAATGATTTATTTTCCAGAACTTGATTTGCTAATATGCAAATGTCTGGGCACCCACAAAAGAAGTTGTCTCATCATCTGACCAATCATGCCTGTTCAAAAGATGAATACCGGTTTTTGGAGCCAAGATGGCTGAATAGGAACAGCTCCGGTCTACAGCTCCCAGCGTGAGCGACGCAGAAGACGGTGATTTCTGCATTTCCATCTGAGGTACCCAGTTCATCTCACTAGGGAGTGCCAGACAGTGGGCGCAGGTCAGTAGGTGTGCGCACCATGCGCGAGCCGAAGCAGGGTGAGGCATTGCCTCACTTGGGAAGCGCAAGGGGTCAGGGAGTTCCCTTTCCTAGTCAAAGAAAGGGGTGATGGACGGCACCTGGAAAATCGGGTCACTCCCACCCGAATACTGCGCTTTTCCGACGGGCTTAAAAACAGACAGCCAAATCATGAGTGAACTCCCATTCACAATTGCTTCAAAGAGAATAAAATACCTAGGAATCCAACTTACAAGGGATGTGAAGGACCTCTTCAAGGAGAACTACAAACCAATGCTCAAGGAAATAAAAGAGGATACAAACAAATGGAAGAACATTCCATGCTCATGGGTAGGAAGAATCAATATCGTGAAAATGGCCATACTGCCCAAGGTAATTTACAGATTCAATGCCATCCCCATCGAGCTACCAATGCCTTTCTTCACAGAATTGGAAAAAACTACTTTAAAGTTCATATGGAACCAAAAAAGAGCCCGCATCACCATGTCACTCCTAAGCCAAAAGAACAAAGCTGGAGGCATCACACTACCTGACTTCAAACTATACTACAAGGCTACAGTAACCAAAACAGCATGGTACTGGTACCAAAACAGAGATATAGATCAATGGAACAGAACAGAGCCCTCAGAAATAATGCCGCATATCTACAACTATCTGATCTTTGACAAACCTGAGAAAAACAAGCAATGGGGAAAGGATTCCCTATTTAATGGTGCTGGGAAAACTGGCTAGCCATATGTAGAAAGCTGAAACTGGATCCCTTCCTTACAACTTATACAAAAATCAATTCAAGATGGATTAAAGACTTAAACGTTAGACCTAAAACCATAAAAACCCTAGAAGAAAACCTAGGCAATACCATTCAGGACATAGGCATGGGCAAGGACTTCATGTCTAAAACACCAAAAGCAATGGCAACAAAAGCCAAAATTGACAAATGGGATCTAATTAAACTAAAGAGCTTCTGCACAGCAAAAGAAACTACCATCAGAGTGAACAGGCAACCTACAAAATGGGAGAAAATTTTCACAACCTACTCATCTGACAAAGGGCTAATATCCAGAATCTACAATGAACTCAAACAAATTTACAAGAAAAAAACAAACAACCCCATCAAAAAGTGGGCGAAGGACATGAACAGACACTTCTCAAAAGAAGACATTTATGCAGCCAAAAAACACATGAAAAAATGCTCATCATCACTGGCCATCAGAGAAATGCAAATCAAAACCACAATGAGATACCATCTCACACCAGTTAGAATGGCAATCATTAAAAAGTCAGGAAACAACAGGTGCTGGAGAGGATGTGGAGAAATAGGAACACTTTTACACTGTTGGAGGGACTGTAAACTAGTTCAACCATTGTGGAAATCAGTGTGGCGATTCCTCAGGGATCTAGAACTAGAAATACCATTTGACCCAGCCATCCCATTACTGGGTATATACCCAAAGGACTATAAATCATGCTGCTATAAAGACACATGCACACGTATGTTTATTGCGGCATTATTCACAATAGCAAGGACTTGGAACCAACCCAAATGTCCAACAATGATAGACTGGATTACGAAAATGTGGCACATATGCACCATGGAATACTATGCAGCCATAAAAAATGATGAATTCATGTCCTTTGTAGGGACATGGATGAAATTGGAAATCATCATTCTCAGTAAACTATCGCAAGAACAAAAAACCAAACACCGCATATTCTCACTCATAGGTGGGAATTGAACAATGAGATCACATGGACACAGGAAGGGGAATATCACACTCTGGGGACTGTTGTGGGGTGGGGGGAGGGGGGAGGGATAGCATTGGGAGATATACCTAATGATAGATGACGAGTTAGTGGGTGTAGCACACCAGCATGGCACATGTATACATATGTAACTAACCTGCACAATGTGCACATGTACCCTAAAACTTAAAGTATAATAAAAAAAATTCAAAAAAAAAAAAAAGACACTTCATGCAACAGATGTACAAATCAGATACTATTATCCCCATTTGACAGATGAGGAAATGGACTCTTCAGGCAATATTAAATAATTTTATTAAAGTCACAAAACCAAAAAAAAAAAAAAAGATGAATACCAGGGAGGATATTTTAACATCTGATGAAAGGCTACTAAATAGAGATAACTATAAGAAATAAAAATGAAAATTATAAAGAATAATCAAGTAATAAATTAATATATAAATACCAAAAATCTGGGAAGTTTTCTGAGCTGACTTAGAACTTTAAGAAATGCTAAAACAATTATGAAAAGCAGAAGTGATAATATTAATGGGTTCGGATGGGTAGACAATAAAATCAGAGGTGATAATATTAATGGTATTGAATGGGTAGATATTAGAACCTGAACCACAAAAAGAAGGTGTTGGAACCTAAGAAAACACAAGTTAACCAATTTTTTTTCTTGATTTTATGGTATTCAACAAACATTTATTGAATGTCTAAGTGCCACGAACTGGTAACTGATTCCTTGAACTGGCAATCATAAACTGAGCTGGAAAGTAGACCACTGAAAGTAATTTTTTTTAGTGGAAAACCAAAATATCAGGCCAAGATAATTACACTGAACTATACATTAACAAAGAACCTTTGCTGATGGGGCACAGTGGCTCATCCCTGTAATCCCAGCAATTTATGAGGCCAAGGCAGGAGGATCACTTGAGCTCAGGAGTTCAAGCCTAGATTGGGCAACACAGTGAGACACTGTCTCTACAAAAAATACAAAAATTAGCTAGGCATGAGGGCACATGCCTGTGGTCCCCACTACTTGGAGGGCTGAGGCAGAAGGATCTCTTGAGCCTGCAGGAGGTTGAGAGGCTACAGTGAGCTGTGATCCTGACACTGCACTCCAGCCTGGGTGACAAAGGGAAACCCTGTCTCAAAAAAAATAAATAGATAAAAAACAAAAAAGAAAGAAAAAAGAAAAAGAAAAAAAGAATTTTTGCTATCTACTTGAGTTAGGCAACAGATTTGCATTTTCAATAAGTTCCTGTTATTGCTCATTAGTAAATTATGTCTTATTTTTTATTATACCATCTGAGTACTGGAAAGATCACATTGCTATATAGGGACCTTGGCAGTCTCTCAATTTTGCATGTAATATGTTTAGTGTGTCAGAGCACGCATGTACATAGTATGAAACTAAGTTCATTTTCTATGTATTTATCATTAAACCTCAGGTTTTGAAGTCAGCAAGATCCAAACTAGCATTCTGCCTAGCTTAGTTACTTGCTTAGGAAAGTTATTTATATTTTCTGAGCTTCTATTGTTTTGTCTCTTAAGATGGAGGAGCAATACTTAACCTTCAGTTATTAGAATGACTAAATAAAGTTTCTTCTTAAAATATAGAACACTGTGTTTGACACATAGTAGGGCCTCAATGAGAATTTAATGAATGAGCAAATAAACGAATAGATAAATAATAGAAATAAAACAAGACAGAGGAATAATATGTGTCTAGATTTATTTATTCATTTATTTCTTGGAAACCATTTCTCACCACAGAAAAATGTTAGGTACATTATAGGCAGGATGAATAGATGTCTTAAAATTCATGCTATATTCTTAATTCTGGTTAATTTATTCTAATGAAAATTATACATTAAAATCATCACAAAATATAATTTAAGTTGTGTGTCAAGCTGTACTTTTTCATAGTAATGAATTTATTTTTCAGGGTATGCTGTGTGCATATAGTTTATTTACATATTTAGATATATTTCCTATTTATAATCAGAATTTGAATTATTGGGCCAGTTTTTAGCTAAATAGTTTATAGCTAAATTGTTTCCCAGTAAGTTTTCTAGTTTTTATCTATGAGAGGGCCAATTTGCCTGCATCCTCTTTAAATTATTTCTTAGGTCAAAGGGATATCTTTTCCTTAACAAAAAATGTTTTAATAGTTTACATCAAATTCACTGAAACTATATATCATGGCTAATGAAACAGGCTTTACTAATTTTTAACTACACTTCAAAAAATTTCTTGGATAAGATAGTTGGGTTCAATTATCATACAGAAAATCTGTGATAGTAGCAGCAAAATTTTAAAACAATAGACACTGATGTCCCAACTGGCACCCTAACGACTATGAATCTTTAATACCTACCATTGTGTTAAGCTTCAAGAAATGAGGCAGAGAAGAGGAGGGAGAAGACACAGTATTTCAGTGATTCTTTACAACTTGACAAAGTGTTATTATGTCATCTTTCAAATCCATAAGCCATTATTTTGCACCTTGGGGAGCAATACAGTAGTGCTCCAGATCCCACAGAATCACTTATCCTTAAAGTCTTCATATACTTTTCTCAGTCTATCCTTCTCTCAAGGGAAAGCAAACTTCTCTAGCTTTGGGAACGAGTAGGTCTTAGGTGTCAGCTATCACTTCTCCAGAAACAGGACACAAGATAACAAGCAAAGTGACCTTTGCAACTGTCTTTCTCAAAGGAAGCTGAGTCATTTTTCTCTAATTTGGTTTAAAAAAAAGATGTTTTTATTATATCGAGAGTAAGCACCATAACTTCTCCCATGGAGGAAGTTTTTCTTGTGAAAATACCTTCAAGAGGCATTTTGGCGTGGATGAGCCGGAGTGTGGTAGATTGATTGCAAAAAATAGCACAAACATTTCCCCTCCCTGTACTCATCCCCTTGCAATATGACTTTGCAGCTCCTCCCCTCGAGACAAAACTCTATTTGTCCACCATTAAATCTAAACTGGTTTTGTGACTTCCTTTGGCAATAGAATGTGGTGAAAGTGACAATCTACCACTCCGAGGCTAGGTCTCAAAGGCTTCTTCATGCATTGTGCTGGCTCTCTTGAAACCCTGTTCTGCTATGTGGATCAGTCCAGGCTACTCTGCTGGAGGAGGTGCAACCCATGACCCAAGCATGTGCATTTCCATAGCCAGTATTCAGCCAACCATTCCATTGAGGCCATTCTAGATTAGCCAACTCCTACCTGACTGCGAAAGTGAGCAAAGCCAGCTGGGATCAGCTGAGCCCAACCTAGAGACATGCAACTCACAAATAGATTAGTGACCAACAATAAGGGTTTATTTTAAAGTCCCTGAAATTTGGCATGGTTTATTACTCAGCATTAACTAACAGATACACTCACAAGCAGGAATAGCAGTAAGTATCAGGATATCAAAGACTGTGGGAAGCTACTCTACAGTAGCAACAGGGGAATCATGTTGGCTGTTGCTGATAGTTGCTCAAGGTGGCATAAAGAAAAGAGATGAGGATGAGAAGGGGAGAAGATCTAACAAAATGGGGAGTATATGTGATTATATTTGGGGGGCCCAGGGACTGTTAACAGTGACAGGACGGCCAAAAGGTATGTAAGAATGATGAGTTATTGTGTTGCCAGAAAGTGAGCATCCACTCCACTTTGCCTTCTGTGTTTTTAACACAATATATGTAACTGATTAATGCAGCACAAGAATAGATAGAGATCCTGTCCTTGTTTGTGAAAACTAAAGAGAGGGCTGATCATTTCTACTGGGTAAAGTGATGTGATACAAAGATAGCATGCTTGGACATAAGACCCTACAATGCTGAGCCACCTGGAGGAATATGACTCTCCATTTCCATCCCCTCACACGGAATTCACAAGGAATACTGAAGAGTGTTAAGACTTCCACAGACCATTGAACCCATTAGGTGGGAAGAAGGGAGGTTGAGTCATGTTTAGCTTCCTCTCCAGTGGAACAGAGATCTGCAGCTGGCATCTGAATAGCATTCCTCTCATGTAAAGGGTGGAGGGAATGTGTCAACACCAACTGAACACCTAAGCCTTATCTCATGTAATTCTGACAACTGCACAAAGAAATTATTTGTTATCCGGATTATGCTTAAAAGGAAACTAAGTTTCAGAGACATTAAGGAGCATACTAAATTTCACTCAGTTGGTGAGTGATAAACAGTATTTTAAATCCAAGATTGCCTGACCCTGGCCCAATAATCTTTCGATTCCACCACAACTGCCAGAAACATCTATCCACACATCAGGTGTATCCACAGCTGTTTGGTTTGTTGTTGCTGAAATTTAAGTATAACACCTCCCTTAGCAACTGAAAAGGCCCTTAGCTACCTGCAATATTTAACAACTACTTTCTACATAAATAGCTTCTGAAGGTTTTATCTTACAGCATAGTGGGTTCATGACAGCTTTTATCTGAGATGATGAAACAACAAAAATGCCTGGACTATGACCTAGAGCCTGCCCGGGAGGTGGTTGGTCAGGTGTAGTCTCTTGGGAAGTGCTGGGGACACAGATGTTCCAGATGGTTGAGACATTTCTTTCACTAGAGCATGGAGTGTAGAATTAGCCAAAATACCCAACCTCTAGGAAGGAAATACAGATGTTCTAAAATTGTGGTATCCAACTCTTACTTTTCAGATTTCTAGGATTCAACAGAGGTTCCTGAGAGGCCATTGCAAATGTCAGGGGGAAAAGTAATTCAATTAACAACAACAACGATAACAACATAGCTTATAATTGAATATCACCAGGCAGTGTTCTAAGAATTTTGTGTAAATTAACACATTTAATCATGTTTTTATCCTTATGGGCTACATATAACATTATCAATAGCCTCATTTTACAGATGAGTAAACTAAGACAAAGAGGGGTTAAGGAAATTACTCAAGGTTTTGCAGTAAGTGGTCCAACTAGAATTTTTTCACAGGCAGTTTTGTTTCATTGACCATGCTCCTACTCACCATAACGTACTATTTTTCAGGCAGAGAAAGTGTTTATTTTTTTAATTGCACACACACACACATACACACAGACACACACTCACACACACACACGCACACACACACCTTACATCTTCATGGGATTAGTACATTGGACCAGCAGGACTCACAGGATGCAATACCAAAGCAACTTCATTTCCCCCGTAATTGCTCACTCAAACCTGTGCCATGGATCAGACCTTTCCCTAACCCTGGATGAACTCCTGGGCAGAAAAGACCACACAGCTTCCAGATTCCCTCTGAAATAACCAAAGAAACTCCAGGCATTTTAGTTGCCTAAAATAGTGTCTGTTCACTGATGAATATCCCGAGTCCAGTGTAATATTTGAAATTCTGAGTTTCACTCAAAGTTAAAGCCTGTCCCTTCACTTGAACCTGCAATAGGTTGGAAATCCACTGATGGGGAAAGAGGGACTTTGTCTTTTCTACTCTGTTGTCTCCTTCCATCCCCTACCACAGCCTGGTGTTGACTTCGAACCTCCTGGTTGAAGCCAGGAGAGAAAAGAGGTGGAGGCTTAAAAATACCTTAATTGATGAGCACCCATATACAGATCGTTTCATATTACATTGCAATTGTGAAGGTATTTCAAAATGTTGTTTACACTTATCAATGTTTTAAAATTATGAAAATAATGATAGTTATTAGGACTGATGCTAAATCTGGTTATTTAATGTTATAAAAATTTTGAAATATTTTGATAACTCTACTTAAAGAGGATTCCTTTGGCAATTCTATGGATTTAATTTATGTACTTAAAAACAGTAACCTAAGAAGGGGTCATCTATTGCCAAAGACTGCTGAGAGAGTTTATAGCATAAAAGCACCTTGGTTTTGGGGGTTTCTTCTCCACCATATAATGTCTCAACTGTTGTCCTATCTCCCTTCCAGACAACCTTCTTGGGTAAAGTCCCTTTAAGGTGATAAGGGCCAGTTCTCTTCCTCCTGCTCATATGGCTGACATCTCCATGGGAAACATGCACCTTTACCAGTGCTTGGCAGAAGTGCAGGTACTCTGTAACCCCAGCAGCCCCTACTCCATCCGCTGTTCAGGTCTGCTAGTTAACTGGTATGCCCTAGTAGGGCGAACTGGCTTTGCATGTTTGAAGTCCTCTTGTAACAATTGGTAAATAACTTCTGCTCTGAGCTCCCGTCAAATCCTCTGCCAATACCCTTGCCTCCTCAGCCTCTTCCCAGGACCTCCAGACCTCCCACTATTCAGGAACCTAAAAGAAAATACTTGGCAAAGCCAGACCCTGCAAGAGCTGACTCCAAATGCACAAATGATTTCAGTTCTCATTTGTCAGTGCTCGGGCCTCACTAGTTGTTGGAACCCTGTGAAACATCCGCACTATTCATTACATCCAAAGGAAGCAATCTAACTCCCTAATTGGGTTTTTCCAGCCTCTCTCACTAGACTTGAGGCAAGGGGACCACATCCCCTACCCACCCCTTCTTGGAATGGCAGTAGGAAAAATACTCCAACACATTTTCCCAAAGAAATTCTCTCTTTAATCTAGCACCTCAATCTTTTTATACCTTTCATGTGGCTTTTGAACCTTATATATTGAGGGTCCGTATTAAATGTTCATTCACTGAAATTACTGCTGACAATCAATCCCTACACACCACACACACACACACACACCACACACACACACACACCTAAATGTGCTTGGCTATAAGAATTTCCCATGCAGCAGACTATTGAACTACAGATTTTTCAGCATTGGCATTTGGAAAAGGCTCAAACCTGAAGGCAGAGAAAACTAATAGCCTAAGGCCTCCAATCTAAAGATAGATTCTACTAATCCTAGGCTGGCTGCCTTGTACAGCTTTGCAATGTCTCCTCCACATGTGAGCCTGGCCCGCTTGCCTCTCCTGTTTCTACATTCTCAGTTCCTTGGCTGGCTCCCCCAGGGATAACTCTCAGTGCCTGCCTGATCTGTGTTACAAAGCAGACATGAATAGCCAGGCCAGAGAGCCATGTACTAATTTCCTGGGTGGCCAATCCCTCTCTCTCATATCCTAGTGCCATTTTAAGGGAAAAGAAATGTAGGACATGGAATAAACAGAGGGAAACCTGCTTGATTTGTTGTTAATGTGTCAGTGTTTTGTTTTGTGGGTTTAACTTGTAGAAGGCAGGTCTTTGTCTTGTTACTCTCTGGCATTTAACAGGGCCTGCCTTCAGTGACTCAGCCGGGTTTCCTTAGACAGAAAACAGCCACTTAGTGCCTTTTACACCACCAAGAAAATGAGATTATTCCTTGAGGAGATCAGCAGCTCTCGGCTGCTGTCGAAAGGGCGCTTTGCCTGTTTGTTTGGCTGAAAGGCACCACGCAGCCCAGGCTTGTTTAAAATTAGCTTCCTCATAAATCACTTGCACAATGAAGTGTCTGCCTCTGCCCTCTGACATATTTGTGTCTCTGTTTATTTTTAATGATGACATGGCTTTTTCTGTTTCCATTTGGCTCTTTACTCTCCACACTCCCAAGCACTAACTTCTGTGGCAAAAGTACAAAATCTAAGAAACTGCAGGGAAGAAAGAGTTCCTTTTCTACCAGCACATAAATGTAGTGGGGAAACTGAGTTAGCCTTGGGGGTATTTCTGGAGGAAATTGCCTCCTTTCTAACTTTGTCAGATTATAATATCCTGAAATTGTACTTTTTGAAAGAGTAAGAGGGTGATGGCAATATTCTGTAACTTGATAGGGGTCTGTGTTACACACGTGTATGTGTTTGCAAAACTCAATAAATGTATATGTACCTTACATGTAAGTTTTTACATAAAGAAAAAAGTAAACTAATAATGAACTCTAATAATATTTATACAGAACTATTTAAGAAGAAGTATACTAGTTTTCTCAATTTACTTTGAAATGCATCCAAAACTGTGATAAATTAATTGATGGATAGATGGACAGACGTGATAAAACAAGTAGAAAAAAAATGTTAAAGGCAAAATATAGATGGTAGGTACAAGTCTGTTCCCTGCAAAATTACTTCAACTTTGCTGCAAGTTTGAATATTTTTACAATAAATTATTAGAATAAATGCTCTCTTGGTGACCCACACTGAATCCTTGGAAACATCAGAGAGCCACAGCTTCTAAAATCCTGTATTCCACCCAAATTTTATTTTTAAAAATCTATATTTATATAGAGTTAAATTGCAATAATTTATGACAACAAGGAAAACAGTATCCTTGACCCAGTAAAAAGTACAAAATACAGAATATTCTAAGAGAGAGGGAAATTTTATTAGTTAGACACATAAGAACCTTCTTCAATTTAAATGGCATGTAACTAGAAGTTCTTAATGCAGCTCTCTAATCCAATATATAAAACACAAATGAAGAACAGTAAAGGGCATACAATGACCAAAACCCACATAGGATGAATTCAAATGGGCCTGGGGTGAGAAAGTCCAACCTTAGTGAACCCACAGTTACTGTTGAAACAAACAAACAAACAAACGAATACCCAGAAAAGTCTGAAACAAGGAAAAAAACTGGAGAATTCTTCTATGAATGCTACCTTTTTGAGGCAAGGTCTTTTCTTTCTTTCTTTCTTTCTTTTTTTTTTTTTTTCTGAGACAGAGTGTCACTCAGTCTCCCAAGCTGGAGTGCAGTGGCTCGATCTCGGCTCACTACAACCTCCGCCTCCCGGGTTCAAGTGATTCTCCTGCCTCAGCCTCCCGAGTAGCTGAGACTACAGGCGTCCGTCACCATGCCTGGCTAATTTTTGTATTTTTAGTAAAGACAGGGTTTCACCATATTGGCCAGGCTGGTCTCGAACTCCTGACCTTGTGATCCACCCGCCTCAGCCTCGCAAAGTGCTGGGATTACAGGTGTGAGCCATAGCACCCAGCTGGTGAGACAAAGTATTTTTATTTTCTTATTACAACTTTTGGAGACTTTGACTTCCAGAAAACAACCAGATAATTAGAAAAGAAGAGCTCTTAGCACATATTGCCATGGTACACTGAAAAATTACACTGCTTTGGCAAGAATGTGGACAGGAAAACTCATGGTAACAGTATATTGCAGAGGTAGTAGTTTGTTGTGCATTTCTTTTCTTCAGAATGGCAGTTGGAGTTGAAAAAGCCACCTCTGCAGCAGAGCTCAATAATATGAAAGTTGATTATTTTCCAATATGATATTGGAAGTTGTTCTAGTTATTGTACAATTAACCTGTCTTCTGGGGAAGGGAAATATACTCCTCCCGTGGAAGAGAGTAAGGAAATGAACAATAAGCTAATAAACCTTAATATCTAAATGAGTTTCTTTTCACAAATGAAGACCATGTACCCTTATTGACAAACACCAGCTCTTGATAAATGTCCAGTTTACTCATTCATGGATGAGTAAACTGAAAAATATTTTAAAATATATTTAATTGGCTATAAAATACACCTACAAAGTAATCTTCAAAGACAAGTCTTAAAAATGACATAAGAAAAAGTAAAAGGATCAGACAAAACTCCAAATCATGCAAAAACAGTCTGCATTTGAGGTGGTAAATAAAGAATTAACACTACTTGAACTTAAGATGTGAACATAAAGTACAATTTGAAAAGTTCTCAAAAAACATTGATGAGAAAGACAAAGGGAGGGAGAGAAACAGGATACAAACCATAGACTTGAATGTATTCCGCAGGAAGTACCCAAACTGAAAGGAAACAACAAAAATAAATAAATAAATAAAGTCAGAGAAAAGGTCTGAGAGCACATTGCCAAGGAGTCAATAGCATTTCAGGGAAGTTAGTGAAGAGGAGCCAAGTGTGGTTCCCTGCACAGCAGCCATGCAAAATGAGTTCAAAGGTTAAGAAAATGAGGATTGGAAAGTTTTGTTAGCTTGACCAAAGCCTAGATCTAGAATGGGATCTCAGGAATTTTATTATCAGAATCATAAATCAGAAATATCAAGTCTGTAATATTATTTGAAAATGCTGAAGTGCCACAAGTGACCATTTTGAGACTGAACTCCTCAAAGTTGTCACCTCTCTCTGAAACTCATTGTGCTTTAATATTCTTGCCCCATTGCCAGGGAACAACTAAATAACTTCCTTTGCTTTATTTCATTCATCCATTTCTCCTTACAAGCAGCATTAATGTTGTGCTGCCTTATTGGACACTTTAACATAGATCCCTGTCCAAAAAAAGCACAAATTTCAGTAGTGTAGGTAAACAACTTCAACATAACATATGGAGTACAGAGGGAGAGAGAGAAAAAACATGAGAGTCTGCAAGAAATTATCATTTGTGTTTTATAGTATTTTTTCTCTTATAGTTTACCCACATATTTATCATTTTCATAGTTCTTTTTGCTTCTTACATGTCTTACCTTTCATCCGGGAATATTTTATAATTCCCATTGGTAGCATCTGCTAGTGTTAAACTGTCTTTGTTGATTTTGATGATAAAATGACTTTATTTTACTTTTATTCTTGAAAGTTATTTATCTGGGCATTAAACTACAGGACGGGAGTTTTTTGTTGTTGTTTTCCTTTTTTTTTTTTAGCACATTGTATCTATTTTTTGTTTCCATTGTAATTGAGAAGTCAACTGTCAGTAAATGCTATTTGTTTGAAAGTAATCTCTCCTCTTTTCTCTGCCTCCTCTTAAAATTTTTCTCTTTGTACTGGGTTCTCTTTAGAATCACTATGATATGCCTGAAAGATTTTTTAATATCATTTGATATTTTTGGGTTTTCTGAATGTGTGAATTAGTGTCTTTCATCAGCTATGAAATCTTTTACACCCTTACCTCTTCAAACATTACGTCTGCTTCACTTTCTCTCTTCTTTTGCTTTCGGTGTTTTTATTTCTTATATGTTAGAATCTCTATATGTCTCCGCCATATTTGTACTGTTCAATATATTAGTCCCTAGCCACATGGGGGTATATAAAGTTAAACTTAACTAAGTAAAATTAAATAAAATTTAACAGTCAGTTTTTCAATCTCAATAGCCACATATCAAGTACCCAACAGCTGCATGTGTATAGTGGCTACTGAATTGGACAGCACAGATACAGAATGTTTTTATTATTGCAGAAATTTCTATTGCACTGATCTATATCTGTTAGGTGTTCTGGTATATTTTCAATCTTTCGTTTATTCTTCATTTCTGATTTTTCTTAGATTTTTGACCAATCTTTTTGTTCAATAGTTCTCTATCAACTCTTCCTAATTTGCTGTTAATTTGATCTTTTTAGTTATTTTACTTTAATTCTAGAATGTATATTTTGTTAATTTTTTAATCTATGATATCACATTTTATGGTTGCTGGTTCCCTGCCAACATTTTAAATCTTGACTTTCATCTCATTGTATATAGTGAGCACAGTTGTTACATAGTCTGCCTGGTAATTCTATTTTTTGGACTTCATTGTGTTTGCTCCTATACTGTATTATTTTTGCTGTTTTTTTTTTTCTTATGGTATTTCAACTCTTCATGTATTCAGTTATTTCTGAGTATGTGCTGGACATTGTTTCTAAAAACTAACTTTCAGTAATAAATTCAAGACTTGATTAAAGTTGTCTTCCACCAACAAATATATTCATTGCTTTTGCCAGAATCCTGGGCACACTATTTTTGACCATTTAATACAGGTTCATGCTTTAGGTTTTCTGTAGAGTAGAATGATGCAAAACTGTCATCTTAACTACCAGACTTCAACCCTTAAAGTTTCAGTCCAAAGTGTTAGTGTCCTCTCAAGATCCTCCTCCCAAATGTACAGAAGCTGCTAATGACAGAAAAGAAGAAATATATAGGAAACATCAAACAATGGAGAAAAGTATCAAAAACAAAAGCTCATTCTTCAGAATTATTAATAAAACAGTCCCTTGAGAGACTGGCCAAAGAAAGAGAAGGCACAAGTTGAACTATAAAAACTTGCACAAATAAGAAATAAAAGAAATTGATTTAAAATCTTGACATAGTCAAGAAATACAATAAATTGATAATATATTAAAATTTTATAATAAAAATAACATTGAATTATGAAATAATAGAAACTACAAAATGCCAATAATTAATTAATCTATACCTTTTCACCCTATAAAATAGTTTTATAAAGGGCTAACTACACTTTCAAAAAACAAAAATTCTTATTTTCTAAAACCATTGTACATAATATAAAGAAATGTCCTTTAACAAATTTTCTGAAAATAATGTAGCCTTTATATCAAAAACCAGAAAAAAGACAGCATAAGAAAGTATATATTAGTCAATATTAGGTAGAAACATGGATGAAAATATCAGTTATTAACAAAATACTTCTCATATCCATCAAACTCACATAAATTAAATTTCTAGCAACTCCCAGTGCCACTGAAGTTATAGGGTATCTGGAACATTCATCTATTCCCAATAGGAGTTTAAACAGTACAACCATTTTTGGGAGTGATTTGGAAATATCCACTAGAGTAATGCCCAGTAATAGTGGAATGGATTGATAACTTGTGTGTATTAATATAATGGCATACTATATACCTGTTACCATTTATGCACAATTTCTTTTTGACTCAACATACACACATTTCAAAAATGCAAAATCAAGTAAATAAACCAAGGTGCCGAAGAACATTAAAAAATTATACTATTTGTGCAAATTTAAAAAACACACAAGACACAATACAATATGCTGTGTGTGTGTGTGTAGATATATAGAGCATATTTATACATCAACTGTAGAAAGGCAATTGTCTCCTGGGAAGGAGACTAGGAAAGGAGATCAAGAAGGGATACAATGGGGACATGAAGTCTGTCTGAAAAGAAATATTTAAAAATGATTTGAAGCAACCAAGGCTCAATATAAGCATTTTAATATTTAGGTAGACAGTGTTTATTAGGTATAATATTAGACCTTACTTTATAAAGTAACTGTGAGGACTAAGTGAATTAATGCATATAAAAGGCTTAAAGGACAGAGTAGGTGCTCATTACATGCTGATTTTCATAATTGTTACTCATTAGAGATGGTGAATTTCTAGACAGAAAAGCCCAGCTATTATTTATCACTGTCCCTTATGCATACTACAGGATCTAGCACAGAGGAGATGCTCAGTAATTTGGTTGAATGTGTCCACACATCATAAATTGCTGTCTTCATCTCAAACTCCCTAATGGTCCTTGCCTACTTGCATGGATGTAGGTGAATGAGGAGTGTAACAGATTGGCATAAACCACTGGTAGAAACGTTAGGGCTTAGTATTTGACTCTTACAACCAGTTCCATATGTGACCTGGTTTATGGTTTCAGGGCAAGTGATTACTTTTAAGTAACCAACCAGCAGAGTTTAGACGTGTTTCGAGATTCTTGGAAGAAGGTTGATTACATAAATGCCAACTATATTAGTATTGATTTCTCAAAGAATAAAAAGAAAAACCAAAAAAAAGGTCAACTCAATCAGCTATTTATTATTTCTTCTGTTCTTTAAAATTGTAAGAATTTCTGAGGGGTGGGAATTTCAAAGCTATTTCAAGATCATTATATAAAGCATTCTTTAGTATATAAGGTCTTAAGGAGGAGAAATGGGCTTTGGCTGACTTCACCCACAAGCTGAACTCCATAAATATTATATAGTTAACACACGATCCAGATACTTTAACTTCACAGAGTTCAGGAAAGAACAGCTTTTGTTTATGGTGAGTTTTCCTATGTGTTGAATATAAAGTACCAATTAAAGTGTAATCGGAATAGCTGTTTGAATTTTTGGCAGCGTATCAGAAGGAGTTACGGAAAGCAGGGCCTTTTCAATGATAGATATGATTTTGCAGAGGTCATGCTATGGCCTGGATAGGGCATGCCTGGCCTGATTTCAAACCATAAATGCATGCGAATGTAAGGAAATGAATCCTATTCCAGGGCCTATATCTTCATTGCCTTAGAAATGGTTTTTCTATTTCCAAAGCAATTCTGGTTTTCAGAATAATTTGCCTGGAACTCAATCCCTATATGCTGATGAGACCAACTGAGGTCTAGAATGGCTAAGACACTGGGGCATTTTATTTTGTTATTTCCACTGTCCAATTCTTTGTAGATTTTGATTTGGAAAAGTATTCAACCCATTGGAACCTAAACCATTCTCCCTCTCCCTAAAATATTTTCATAGAACTGAGTTCCCCTTATTTTCAGAGTTCTTACATCAATTATACATGAAGTGAATGCCTGAAAGGATCAGGACTGATTGTGGGGAAGAAGTGAAGTATGTTACGGAATAAAAGACTGGAAACAGAAAATAAGTAGAAAACAGAAAAAGCAATGAAGCAAACATGCATGGTTGACATAAACGTGGAGCAGAAACTACAACAATAGGTTCTTGGATAGTGCCTCTGAATGGGACAAATAGTCACTCTGGAGTCTCAGTAAAAATCTAAAGAGAGAAACCTGATCCAAGTTAAAGGTATAGTCAGCGACTAGCTCAACTTCTAACAGCTTCCAAAAACCAAAAATGTGCAGTTGACCTTGTAACTAGGATTGCATATGGCACCCAGCCAAAACCCGCCAGCCCTCTCCAGGGCAAAGAGTGACAGCTTTGCTGTCCTGCAGTTGAAACAAGTGGGAGCTCATATTAAACTGTGCCAAGCAGGGCCTGCCACTAAGCTGAACACCTGTAATTCACCCATCTGTGTCCCTCAAGTCCTCACCCCAAAGTAAATTGATTCTGAGCTCTAACAGCTGTCTGGGGGACTCTGCTGGGCTGTTCCCAGCAGGAAAGGATGTGGGAGATGATAAAAGCTGTAGGTGTGTTTCCAAGGTCAGAACCCAAAGAGGGAAGTTTTTTTGATTCTTTCATTTGTAGAGATGACAAAAGTGGTAGTGGGTGGGATGCATAATTTCCAGATCATTTAAGTAACTACCAGACGTTGTTTATCCCATCATATGATTTGAAAATTAAGATAATCATAGTTGATGAAAGAGGAGAAAGCCTGGGCAATGAGGGTCCCTTTCATCAAGGAGTGTAAAGCAAAGAGTAGGAGAAATGGGGTACAAACTTAGAAAATGAAAGTCATATGCAGTGTCTCTGTAAAGGTAAGAGAATTTCAGGAATATTTTAAACATACATTCAGTGTAGACTACCCTGTTCATATCAATGATAGAAAAATAGATATGTAAGTTTTATGAGCAACAAATTCAAGTTTGGAAGAAAGAAACATACACATATGGTCACCTGCTATGGGTATTTATAATATTAGATGTAAAGTGTTTATAACAGCAGACTCTTGCCAACATCAGCAGCCATTGACATAAATAGATTACCGTAGATTACTAGAAATAAATGAAACCCTTGTATTCTATATAGGTGATATTCCAAAAGTAAACAGAATCTTAAAGGCTGAATAGCCCAGGCTCCCTTGTGACTTGAGCCATAGCCACACTTTTTTTTTTTGCAAGCTTACATACTATTTTGTTTCTGGAATTTTTTAAATGCTTTTGAGTAAAGAGCCTTGTTTATTGTTCAGATAACTGTTTTATCTGCTATTACTAAATAGGGAATCTTCATTTATTCATTACCAGTCACACATTTATTAATTTTGTTTAAAACTATTTATTGTCCTGGTCCTTGGGATATAGTGATAAGTAAGAGCATTAGTCTCTGCTTGCAGGCTCATACTCAACAAGTGGTGACTTTCAATGTACTTTTGTGTTTATGCACACATGGGAAAACTAGAAGCAATAGATTGCGTCTAAAGCAAAATGCTAAGAAAAGAGCTTCTAACTGAAGGCATCTCTATGAGAAGTTTGACTGAATTCAGCTGATTTCCATAATCACAAACACCTACTGAATAACTACCTATGCTTTGTCTTTGGTGAGCCACAAAAGTGCTGAGATTCATTCATAGGGCCCCATTCTAAATGGGATCAGCCTAGTGGGAAAAGACTCTGCAGTCCTCTTAGAATGTGCCATCAATTTTTCCTTCATCTGTGTGCAATTGAGTTGTCCAGCACATACATTTAAGTGCCTATAAGATATTAACTACATTGCTAGGCAGTGGGAATAAAGAGTGCTGTTAGTCTCTGTCCATTCATCTGCACATCTATCCTTTCACCCATTCATCCAATTCAGATATTTAATGAATGATGATCATGTACTAAGTGTTTATGCTAGACTGTGGAGAAAAAATAAAACAACATAGACACACTTTATGACCTCATGGAGCTTACATTACAGAAGCAGACATAAACAAAACATAAGAAAAACAACTAGATATACATGAAATTGACAAATTCTGGTATTTGGAGAGATTTCTATTTTTAGAACTATAAATCTCAAGAAGTTCTGAGAGACCCTCCTGCTATAAAATGAACAGTCTATGAAGGCAAATATTTTAGAGAAAATGCTGATTCCACAATTATTAGGAAAGATGCCAGAGGCACCCCCCAGTTTCCCTCCCCTACACACAGACACAGACACACACACACACACACACACACACACACACACACACACACACAGCAAACAAACAAGAAATAAAGGAACCAACAACAAATATGAGTTGGTCCTAGAACAGCTTTGAAATGAGGAATCTAAAGGTACCAGAATCAGAATGCTGGGGGTTGATATTGCCGAGGCTGGGCAGCTGGATTTAAAAATATTTTATAACTTTTCGTAATTTTTCTCTACATGGCCTAGTAAAGAGAAGAATGCCCTGGGCATTCTGTTGATACCCCACAAGGACGACTACTCAAGAATTAGGGTTTGAGATGATTCAGCTCTTACAAAGACTGATCTTCGTGAATGGACTGTTTGCTCTCTGCTTGGATTAAGGTGATTTTTCCCTAACCTAAATGCCTACCAGGTACACAATTAGATCTTCTCTAGAAGAATATAAAGCCATGCAGAGCCTTAATTATTACACTTTTTCAAACTCAATATCCATTATTTAATAAAATATAATTACTGGGCATATAGGGATAGAAGGACAAATAACTAATGATCAAGACAGAGAGAGAGAAAGAAAGAGACTAGAAGCAGACCAATAGGAGAGCCAAATATTGGAATTAATAGATAACAAATTTAAAAATGATTATGATCAATAAATACAGGAAATTAATTGGTAAGATTGATGCACAAAATACACATAGGACATGGTGAAAATGTCAGACACTCTTGAATCCAGTTGGAGTTCCAGAAAAGGAGGAGATGCAACACATGACAAAGCAGTAAGAAAAAAAAAACAAACAAAAAACACTCTCAACAAACACACAAACACACACACATTTTAAAGTGTACATTGAATACTTACCAAAATAGATTATAAAATCTTTCTCAATTTTTTAAAAATTGAGATCTTAGAGCACGTTCTTTAGCCACAATAAAATTAAACTAAAAATCAATAACAGAAAGCTTTCCAGAAAATACTCAAATATGTTTTTCCATTTGTTTGTGTCCTCTCTTATTTCCTTGAGCAGTGTTTTGCAGTCCTCCTTGAACAGGTCCTTCACATCCCTTGTAAGCTGCATTCCTAGGTATTTTATTCTCTTTGTAGCAATTGTGAATGGGAGTTCATTCATGATTTGGCTCTCTGCTTGTCTATTATTGGTGTATAGGAATACTTGTGATTTTTGCACACTGATTCTGTATCCTGAGACTTTGCTGAAGTTTCTTATCAGCTTAAGGAGATTTTTGGTTGAGATGATAGGGTTTTCTAAATACAAAATCATGTCATCTTCAAACAGAAAATTTGACTTCCTATTTGTATAGCCTGTATTTCTTTCTCTTGCCTGATTGTCTCGCCCAGAACTTCCAATACTATGTTGAATAGGAGTGATGAGAGAGAGCATCCTGTCTTATGACGGTTTTCAAAGGGAGTGCTTCCAGCTTTTGCCTATTCAGTATATGATATTGGCTAAAATATTACATCCTCATGGATAGGAAGAATCAATATGGTGAAAATGGCCATACTGCCTAAAGTAATTTATAGATTCAACGCTATTCCCATCAAACTACCACTGACATTCTTCACAGAATTAGAAAATACTGCTTTAAATTTCATATGGAATGAAAAAAGAGCCAATATAGCCAAGACAATCCTAAGCAAAAAGAACAAAGCTGGAGGCATCATGCTACCTGACTTTAAACTACACTGCAAGGCTACAGTAACCAAAACAGCATGATACTGGTATCAAAACAGATATATAGACCAAGGAAACAGAACAGAGACCTCAGAAATAACACCACACATCTACAACCATCTGATCTTTGACAAACCTGACAAAAACAAGGAATGGGGAAAGAATTCCCTATTTAATCAATGGTACTGGGAAAACTGGCTAGCCATATGCAGAAAACTGAAACTGGAGGGCTTCCTTACACCTTTTACAAAAATTAACCCAAGATGGATTAAAGACTTAAATGTAAAACCCAAAACCATACAAACCCTAGAAGAAAACCTAGGCAATACCATTCAGGACATAGGCATGGGCAAAGACTACATGACAAAAACACCAAAAGCAATTGCAACAAAAGCCAAAATTGACAAATGGGATCTAATTAAAGAGCTTCTGCACAGCAAAATAAACTAGCATCAGAGTGAACAGGCAGCCTACAGAATGGGAGAAAATGTTTGCAATCTACCCGTCTAACAAAGGTCTAATATCCAGAATCTACAAGGAACTTACACAAATTTATAAGAAAAAAAACAAACAATCCCATTTAAAAGTGGGCAGAAGGTATGGACAGACACTTCTCAAAAGAAGACATTTATTCAGTCGATGAACATGAAAAAAGCTCAACATAACGGATCATTTGAGCAATGCAAATCAAAACCACAGTGAGATACAATCTCAAGCCAGTCAGAATGGTGATTATTAAAAAGTCAAGAAACAATAGATGCTGGTGAGGCTGTGGAGAAATAGGAAAACACCTTTACACTTTTGGTGGGAATAGAAATTAGTCCAACCATTGTGGAAGACAGTGTGGCAAGTCCTCAATGATCAAGAACCAGAAATACCATTTGACCCAGCAATTCCATTAATGGGTGTATATCCAAAGGAATATAAATTATTCTACTATAAAGACACATGTACATGTATGTTTACTGCAGCATTATTTACAATAGCAAAGACATCAAATGACAATCAGAGATAGTCTGGATAAAGATAATGTGATATATATATATATATATATATATATATATATCATGGAATACTGTGAATATTTGGAATATAAATTATTCTACTATAAAGACACATGTACATATATGTTTATTGCAGCACTATTTACAATAGCAAAGACCCAAATGCCCATCAATGATAGACTGGATAAAGATAATGTGGTACATATACACCATGGAATACTACACAGCCATAAAAAAGAATGAGATCATGTCCTTTGCAAGGAGATGGATGAAGCCGGAAGCCATCATCTTCAGCAAACTAACACAGAAACAGAAAACCAAACATTACATGTTCTCACTCATAAGTGGGAGTTGAACAGTGAGAACACACAGGATAAAACAAGGAAGATTAAAATATATTTTAAACTGAATAATAACAAAGACACATCATTTCAAATGCTCACAGAACATCCACCAATATAGATTATATATTATATATAATGAGTTCATAACAATTCTCAGTAAGTTTAAAATATTTGAAATTTTACATAGTATGTTCTCTAACACAACAGTATTAAAAAATTAATAGCACAGAGATTTCTGAAAAAATCACTAAATATTTGAAATGTAAATATTATACTTCTAAATACATGGTTCAAGTAAAAAGCAGCATAAAACATAACATATATTTTGAATTAAATGATACTGAAAACACAGAATGACAAAATTTGTGGGATGTAACTAAATCTGTACTAGAGGGAAATTCATAGCTTCAACTTCTTATACTAGCAAAGAAAAAAAAGGATTTTAATTTCAGTGATCTGGTTAAGTGTTAAGAAACATCTAGAGGTTACAACACTCTTCATGGTGAAATATAAGGGCATACCCCTCTAACCACCTACATGCAACGTAATCCTGGAGAGCCTATCCATGAGACTCCACATAGAAAACTCTAAAAAAATTTTTTTAAATACTAAAACCTACAAGTGAATTTAGTGACATTGTAGGATACAAAGTCAATACACACAAATCAATAGTATTTTACATAATAGCTGAGGACACATGGAAACAAAATTTAAGACCACACCAGTCACAATAGCTTCAAGAAGAATGTAATATTGAGAAGAAAATTGACAAAATATGTGCAAACCCTATATACTGAAAAACACTAAATAAATCTTGGTGGATATTAAGGCTAAATTTTTTTAGATGCCAGTTTTACTCAAGTTGATCTAGAGATTCAACACAATCCCATTCAAAATCTCCACATGGCTATTTTACAGATATTTAAAATTTTATTTTTTAATTTATATGGAAAGTTAAAGAATAGCCAAAGCACTGTTGTAAAAGAATAACAAAGTTGGAGAGCTACTTAATACATTATTTGATTTCTAGATTTACTATAAAAATAGTTATCAAGATGGCATGATATTGATGTAAGCATAGATATGTAAATCAATAGAAGAATAGTGAGCCCAGAAATATATTAACACATGTGAGCTAAACAGATTTTTGACAATGATACCAAGGTGATTTAATGGGGGAAATGATAGTTGTTCAAAAAATGGTGCTGAAATAACATCCACATGAAAATAAATCTCAAATTTTACTTCATCCTCTGTGTAAAATCACTCAAAATGGATCATATACCTATATAAAACCTAAAACTACAAAAGTTTTAAAAGAGAATACAAGATAAAATCTTTAAGTACTTGAATTTGGCAAAAATTTCTTTGATAGAAAATGGTTTACGCTAACTATAAAAGAAAATAAAATGATAAACTGGACTTATAAAAATTAGACTTCTTTTCAGAAAGTGCCATTGAAAGATAATGAAAAGGCAAAGGTACAGACTGGAAGAAAATGTCTGTAACATATATATCTGAGAAAGACAGAGTGAGGAGTACAAAAAATTAACTGGGGAGGAGAGACATGCTAGAGAACAAGAATTTGCTGAACACTTTTTATGTATCTGATACTGTACTTAACTTTGTTTTTAAAGATAAACTATTGGAGCTTAGAGAAGCTTTCCCAAAGTGTGACAACTAAGGTATTCAGTCTTTCCTTCCATTCTTTAACAGATGAGTCTCCCTTGGTCTTACTAAAATATTACTAATAAGGGAACAAGTTGGTCCTTTAGTGTTTTTTTAAGGAAGACTAGAGGATAGGAAGCTGGGCATGGCTACATGTGAGATCACGAAGACACTTATAGAAATCCTTTTCCTTCTTATTCTGTCCCTGAAACCATATGCATTTATAGTGGTTTTTATTCTTCCTGATTTATTTTGAGGTCTACCCTAAGCTGTAAGCCCTAGGATAAGTCTATTCAATCTATAAAATCTAACTAGAGTTGGTAATTTTTTTTTTTTGAGACCAAGTATCACTCTATCGCCCAGGCTGGAGTGCAGCAACGTGATCTCGGTTCACTGCAACCTCTGCCTCTGGGGTTCAAATGATTCTCCTGCCTCAGCCTCCTGAGTAGCTGGGATTACAGTGCCTGGCACCACTCCTGACTAACTTTTGTATTTTTAGTAGAGACAGGTTTTAGCCATGTTGGCCAGGCTGTACAGCCAATAATTTAATACTAGATAATGTTTAACCACTATATTTGAATTTTACCATTAATTTCCACTTTTCCCTTTTAAATCTAAGGTGTGACTCCATAACAATAGATTTCAGTCTTGTCTTTCATCCTTGCTACTGGAAGTGTGAACCATGGCCCAATAGCATTGGCATCACCTGGGAGCTTATTAGAAATGGGAAAGTCAGGACCCACCCTACACCTACTTCATCAGAATCTTCAGTTTAATTAGGTCTCAGCTTATTCAAATACACATTAAAATTTGGGAACCCTGCTGTTTATGACCACATAGAAAAACAGGAAACAGGATTGCTTCCTGCTCCTGTAACTACAAAGGTATGAAAGCACATCCTTGGGATGTCTAGACTATAGTCTACCACTCTACTGGACTTTACTGCTTGCGGACCATGTAGAAAACTTTAGACAGGTCGTTTAGCATCTCTCAGTCTCAATTTCCTAACTATAAACAGGATGAGTACATTGTCTTCATAGACTTGCTGTGAGGATTAAATGAGATAACATTCATAAAATACCCAAGGCAAATGCTGACACGGTGTTGGTTTTCAATATATGCAGTCTTTTCAAGTGGTCAATAAAGAATGATTCTATTTTGCATGAAATAAATAACAAAAGTCAGTGCCTTAAAGCCAATGCAAACCCTTGACATTTCCTCACATCAAGGAGCAGGATCATTTGCCTCTTTCTCTATGTGTTATTTTTTTCTTTGTGCAATGGTCTCAGTCTATGAGTGGGGGCAGGCAGTGCTAGGAAGAGCCATTGCCTTTTAGATTGTGACCTCCCCCCATCCATGTCCCCAAACGGCCTACTTAATAACAAGAGCAGTAACGGGGTTCATTATGCATGCAGCTCTGCAATCATTGCTGAGGAGAAAATTAGTTTGATGCCCTGAGCGACAGTTGAACTCTAGAAAGTGCCTAAATAAAATAAAAGACAAGGAAAATATATACATACACATAAATATAATAAAGAGTGCAGTGAGAAAAGTTATGAAGAGGCCAATTTCAAAACTTGCCCTTTTCCTGGTGCTTCTTGATTTTTTAGGAATGGTGTGTTGGTTACTAAAAAGTCTGTTTATTTAACCAAAAGTTGCCTTGTCTCTAGCATTGTGCAGGTCCATGGGAGGTCTGGGAGGCTCAAGCATGTACACACATGCATATCTTAAAACAACACAGATGAATCTGGAAGCCATCATCCTCAGCAAACTAACACAGGAACAGAAAACAAAACACCTCATGTTCTCACTCATAAGTGGGAGTTGAACAATGAGAACACATGGACACAGGGAGGGGAACAACACACACCAAGGCCAGTAGGGGGATGGGGGCTGATGGGAGGAAGAGCATTAGGGCAAACAGCCAATGCATGCGAGGCTTTAAACCTAGATGATGGGTTGATAAGTGCAGCAAACCACCATGGCTCACCTATGCCTACATAACAAACCTACACGTTCTGCACTTGTATACCGGAATTAAATAATAATAATCATCATCATAATCGTAGGTTGCCTTCTATGAATTGTTAAAAAAAAGATTGTTTTGCCATTATTTTTGGTTTACAGAAGAGTTGCAAAGGAAGTGTAGTGTTGTCATACAGCCTTCACCTAGCTTCTAATGTTAACATCTTCTATAACCACAGTAAATTTATCAAAACTAAGACATTAACATTCATGTACACTATTAACTAAGTGTAATAGGCATTCTTTGGATCTCCCCTCTTTGGTTTTTCTGGACCTGGATCTAATCCAAGACATATTGCATTTAGTAATGTATGCTTAGTCTTCTCCAGTCTAGAAGAGTTTCTGTCTTTCCTTGAATTTCATGACCTTAATGCTTTTGAAAAGTACCAGTCTGATATTTTGTATAATGTCCTTAATTTTGAGTTTATCTGATGTTTTCTCATGAACAGACTGAGGTTATTAATTTGGGGGAATGAATACCACAGAGGTCATGTACCCTTCTGATATAGTTTGGATGTGAGTCCCTGCCCAAATCTTGTATTAGAATATAATCCCCAGTGTTGGAGGTGGGGCCTGGTGGAAGTGACCGGATCATAGGGGCAGATTTCTCATGAGTGATTTAGCACCAGCCCCCTTGGTATTGTCCTAGGAGGACATGAGTGACTTATCCTGAGATCTGGTCATTTAAAAATGTGTAACACCTCTCCTTCTCTCTCTTGCTCCTGCTCTGGCCATGTGATATGCCTGCTCCCCCTTTGCCTTCCACTATGATTGCGTTCCTTGAGGCCTCCCCAGAAGCTGAGCAGATGCCAGAATCATGCTTCCTGTACAACTTGCAGAACTATGAGCCAATTAAATCTCTTCTCTTTATAAATTATCCAGTCTCATGTATTTCCTTATAGCAATGTGAGAATGGCCTAATACATCATCTCATCACATCTTATCAGTGGCACGTGATATTAAAATGTCTTATTACTGGTGATATTAACTTTGATTATGTAGTTAATGAATGTCTCCAAATTCCCTTCTGTAAAGTTATTATTTCCCCCTTTCTCTACCCTGTTATTAATATTTATAAGAAGGTTACTAAGTCTAGTTCACAGTTAAAGGGAGGGGAAGGGAGATGGGAGGTGTAGTGAGACACAAGACCTCTTATAAAGACAAGATGCATGTTTCAGAAATCATTAGCTCACCAAGAGGCCATGACAGGATGGACTTCTATTCAGGAGTAAAAGAAAATAAGTCATAGAGTTGATAAACACATGATTTGGTGAGGGCTTCCATTTAGGCAAAGTTGTTGCCCTTCAATGATTGTGACTTTTTTCTCCTTTCTTCTAAGATTTTTTGTGATTGTTTTAACCTTCTGGTGAATTATCATGGTGATAGCAGCATTTTTGCCTTGTGCAATGCTTTAAATGGTATAATGTACACACACACACACACACACACACACATTCGTATATATAATCCCTCCTATCTTTTTTTCCTAGTTTTTCCTTTTGCTTTGAAAACCATACACTTCTCCAGCATACTGTTACTACTACTTAAAAAGTATCTTAGCCATTTCTTTTTTTAACTTTTAACTTTTAAATTCAGGGGTACAAGCTCAGGATTTTTACTTAGGTAAACATGTCATGGGGGTTTGTTGTACAGATTATTTCATCACCCAGGTATTAACCCTAGTACCCATTAGTTGTTTGTTTCCCAATCCTCTCCCTCCTCCCATCCTCCACCCTCTGAAAGGTCCCAGTGTGTGTTGTTCCCCTCTGTGTGTCCATGTGTTCTCATCATTTAGCTCGCACTTATAAATGACAACATGCAGTATTTGGTTTTCTGTTCCTGCGTTAGTTTGCTAAGGATAATGGCCATTATCTTAGCCATTTGAAAATAATGATTTAACCTCTCTCACCTTCATTGTCATTTTAGAAGAAACTACCATTTGGTGTCCTGCTGAGACAAGGTATGTAGTTCGCTTTTATTTTTCTTTCTTTATGTACATGTAGAAACAAACATACAGTTCTAAGTTTTGAAAATTAAAGGTTTAGGGACATATTTGTGTTACTTTAACATTAATTTTATATTACATATCTTTGCAAAATGCTGAAATTTGCACTTATTTTAGCCAGGTAGAAAAAAATAGGAATGGATTTTTAAAAACTGTTTTTGGTGCTTTACTGAAAGTTGTTTTCCCCCTTTCACCTTTATTTGATATGAATTTTGTCCCTTAACCAAAAGGAAGCACATTTTTCAAATTTTCTTCTCTTCCCATACTTTGGCTCCTTGCAACCAAGAACAGCATAATTTTCTATATTTTTTTATTTTACAAAGAATTATCTTTTCCTTTAGGGTAAAGCAACTGCTTTCATTCATTAAAAAGAAAAGCAAAAATAAATAAAACACATTTTTAAAAAGCAAACAAAAAAGTACACAGCTTATTCTTGTAAAAACTTTATCGACATGGCTATTTTCTCTTCTAGCGTTTCAGGTTTTAGATTAAAAGCCTCAGATTAGACAAATTTTTGTTCCTCCCAAGATGCCAACATATTTGTATTTATATATTTTAAAAATTCTTGTAAGTTTTATTATTTTCTGCCAAAATGATTTTAGCATTTAAAAATCCTTATCATTAAAAAGGTAAAGAATATAGACCATTAATTCTATTATTTTTATGTACTTCTCAGTAAATCTCTGCAATTTACCAATACAGTTTCTCCCCCATATTATGGAAATGTCTCTTATTACGAATGTGGTTATTGTCTTTCTTTTCATTTTCCTAATCTTTCCAAGACTCTTTCCTCAGGAGAACCTATTATTTCTATTTTAGGTCTCTATTCTTTGTTCATTCTAAAATTTTCTTTCTTGCCATTTTTATCTCATTGTTCTCCTACTTTTTATTCTCAGATGTTTTCTCAAAATATCCTCCTCGCTACTGATTCAACATCCCTACAATCTCAATTATACTCTTCTCTGTGCTCGATGTGAATATTGCTGGGATTTTAAAAATGTTCACTAATCCTTAATTCAGTTTATCTCTAAAAATGTGTGTGTGGGTGAGTGTAGGGAAATGTAGGGAAAAGAAATAATTAAGGAACACACACTGTCTCCTTAATTATTTCTTTTCTCTACATTTAAGGGTCATATCTTTCTACATATTTGAGTATAATAGTTTCTTAAAATTTTCTTTTGAATACTGCAATTACTGACAGTAGCTTACTTTTTTTGAGATTTCTGAAACTTATCTTTCCTATCTATTGAGCCTTGTAAGTTCTCTTTACACGTATGTTTATGTCTATATCTACTTGTCTATCTGTGTATCTATCTTTGTAGAGAGAAAGACTTGGACAAGTTACTTGCAAGGAAGTTATTGGACAGTTTTTTTTGTGAAATATTGTCTATTTTCATCTTTGAAAATGTGATAACTGATATTATATATATGAACTTTAAAAAATTAATATAGGCATTAAAATGGTTTCACATTCATTATTGGAATTTCTTTAATAAATTGCCTGTTGATGTATTTTCCTATTTTTTCTCTTGAGGCATTCATAATTTTATAGTTAATTTTCAAACCTTCTTTGCTTACCAAGAATATTAATACTTTTTCTGGAAAATGCCTAGCAAAGACTTTTTGTCCATTTAAAAATGTTCCACTGTTTCCTGTTATTTATGACTTAATGACATTTCAGAACTTTAATACACTAATATCCATAAATCTCTTCCTTTTTCCTTAGAAAATATTTTCACAACTCAAGACAAGTTAAATATCCACTTATGGGAACAGTGCTGAAGGCCTGGACTAGGATGGTAGCAATGGAGACAGACTAAAGGTCAGCATAACAGTCAACATTAAGGGGGTTGAATCAACAGCACATAGTACCTGATTGGAAATACAGAGTAAATTACAGTGAGAAGTGAGTTGCTGTCCAGATTTCTATCTTGGATATGTAGACAGATGATGGTCAGCAAGCAAGAAAACAGGCAGAACAATTTTAGAAACTAAGAAAATGTATTTCCAATGGAACTAATTAAATCAGAGTCTGTAAATAGCATTGTAAGATATAGGAGGCTGATATGGTTTGGATTTGTGTCCCTGCCTAAATCTCATGTCAAATTATATCTCCAATGTTGGAGAAGAGGCCTAGTGGGGGGTAATTGGATCATGGAGCTGGATTTTCCCTTTGCTGTTCTCATGACAGTGGGTTCTCATGAGATCTGGTTGTTTAAAAGTGTGTAGCACCTCCCCCTTCTGTCTTTTCCTCCTGCTCTGACCATGCAAGATGTGACTGCTTCTCCTTTCACCATGATTGAAAGTTTCCTGAGGCGCCCCCAGCCATGCTTTCTGTACAGCCCATGGAACTGTCAGCCAATTAAACCTCTTTTTAAAATAAATTACCCTGTTTCAGATATTTATCAGTGCATGAACGGACTAATACAGAGGCAGAAGCACATCTGCAGGCAGAAATGGGGAAAAAAATAATATCAGAAGAAAGGATAAGAGGAAGAGCTTAAGAATAAGTATGTGCAAATTTTAGTTGATGCTGGACTGGGGAGAGGTGCTAATGGATTCAGATCCTGGGGGAATCTGGACAAGGATATGGTCCAGAGATCAATGGGAGGAGAAGAAAATTAATAAACTTGACTTAAGGACTAGCCTCTAAGTTGAGAAATGTAATGTTTATGCTAATATTTTTACAGAAAAAGGTGTTATCATTCTCAGTTTTGCAACCTGATTCAGAGAAGCTAAGCCATAGACCCCAAGCCACATGGACTACATGGTGGCATCTATTTAAATTCATATTTATTTGTTCTTAGCACTTTTGTTGTGGTCGCTATGCTACCTCTAAGTAGGACTTTGACTTCCTACAAAATTCACTGTTACACATCCAGGTAGATGTGAATACATGCTGCAGTAATGTCTGTCACCCATAGTCACTGCAGGGGAAGTTGGCATCACAGCACTGACGATATGCCTACTATCTTTAGGTTAAAGTGGATACGTTATCATTACCCTATGCAAAAGAATCTGATCATTGCCCTGAAGATAATTTTGTTATCTCACATTGCATATGTGATCATTACCCTGAGGGCAGAGATGCAATCATTGGCCTATAGGAATACTTATCATTATGGCTTGGCAAGTGGAAAAGTGATAATTAACTTGCACGAATAGATGGGATCATTGCACTACAGATAGATCTGTTATTGCATTTCCTGAAGAAATGCAATCTCTAGTGTGCAAAAGACAATGTGTTATCTACATTTATGGTAGAGATATGCTCCTTATATTGCCCATAATGATGATATCAATTGCATTTCAGGTGGAAATTAGGATTGTTGCATTGCTGATAACCTTGTTATAATTACGTTACAGAAAGAGATGCAATCATTCCCTTGCATATGGTCCGTATGAAGACGGGATCATTACAGGAAAGGTGAAGGAGATACAGTCATTATGCTCTATATACACCCATTTTTATGGCTAGCGGCTGAAGATGGGATGCTTTCTTTGCTGGAAGACCTATTACCTGTTAGGTTGCAAAAGATGTGATCATCTTCCTAAACAATAATTTAGAGTCCCATAACAATTTTAAGTGTGCTGTTCATGAAAATTTGAATACATTGTATTGGGAATATAATGGAAGTGAGATGCCTCATGTCGTGAGAAAATCTGACATAAACTCCTTAAGCATGAGAGGCCATGTGGGTATGGAAGCCCTGAAAGGGAGGAAAAAACAGCCAGACCCTAGCTGTTCCAGTCATCCCAACTGAGGTGCCAGACTTGTGATTGAGGCCATCTTGCATCATCTAGGCCTAGTAGAGCTGCCAACTGACTGCAGACACATGAGTCAATCCAGCTAATGCCACATGGAGCAGAGACAAGCCGCCCAGCTGAGCCCAGTCCAGATGACAGAATCATGAGCAAATAAGGTTGTTGTTCTTTTAAGCCACTAAATTTTCGGGTGATTTGTTACACAGTAATAAATAACTGAAACAACTATGTACAGTTTAATGATCTGAAATCAATCCATAGTGTTATGATAGCCTTTTTAACAAAATTGAAATGATAACTTATTCATTTACAATGCAAATCAATTTAATGGCAATAGTTACAACTGCCCTGAAATGATCTAAAGCCTCATGAAGTTGATTTAATATCTAGCTACCCAACATACTTAATCACATGTTCACAGTTGATGAATAGTGACTGAATCTCCATGAGCAAGATAATAGTAAAGCTCTTTTTTTCTCTTTCTCTTTTTTTCCAGATGAATAATTTTACATTTACACTGATAAAAAGTTAAAGTTGCAGCTCTGTTTTCACACTACCTGAGGGATCTTTGTAGATTACATAAACCCTAAGCCTCCTGTGTAAGTTAAGGAAAAAAATTCCAAACTCACAGTGTTATCGAGAGGATTAAATAACATAATTTATGCAAAGTCTTAACCATAGTTGCTAGCATTTAAACTTTAACTTTTGTCCATGTCTCTAATGTAATTTAAAATGATCTTACTCTTTAAGGTTTGATCTAATAGAATATTTGTCAGACACAAAGACCAAGATTTGTCCCAGTTGATGAACCCTGGGTATAACTCAATAGCATATTGGCAGTTTTTATTTTCTGTTAAGTCTGGATCCATTCAATTAGTGATTTATTTCTTAATTTGTCAAACATTACATTAACAAAGTAACAACTTTTCTATCCATATTATATTGTGGTTACAAAAAATGGATCAATTATATTTGAATTAAAAAATTTAATTGCCACCAAAGAAGAGAAAAATAACTAGAGAAAAATAAAAGAGATGTGTCAAGAAGGAATAAAGAGGCTGATAACATGAGATCTCTTCTAGCTTTGAAACATGTCTTGTGAAATGACTAAAATTTTAAAAGCTAGGATCAAGTATTGGTGAGGAGATGAAGTAATTCTAAGTCTCATCCATTGCTAATGGGGTATACATTGGTTTAACCAGTTTGGAGGACTGTTTGGTAATGTCCAAATATTTATTAAAGTTAAACCTACTCCTAAGTCTTATAGCCCAGAAATTTCAAACCTAGGTAAATACCTAAGAGAAATAAGAGTACATGTCTTCCAAAAGATCTATACAAGAATGTGTATAGCAGCCATAGTCATAACTCCCTAAAACTGGAAATGACCCAAATGTCCATAAAAAGGGAAATGGATACATGTATCATTACATATTTATCTAATGAATTGCTATGTCGCTGTAAGAATGAGCAACCCACTGATACATGCCACAGTATCATGAATCACATAGACAGTATGCTGCCTGAAATAAGCCAAAATAAAAAATGTCTTATTTCACTTATATGAAGTTCTAGAATATGTAAACGTGATTTATGATGACAGAAATTAAAATAGCAGTTCCCTTTGCATAGGGGGAGCGTATTCATTACGGAAGTGTATGATAAAACATTGTACATTGGTGGAATGTTCTATATCTTCACTTGAGTGTTTACCAGGATATATGTCCACAAAAAAGTTAGGAATCCATACTTAAGATTTGTGCCCTTTATAATATGTGTGTTATACAGCCACTGAAAATAAATTGATAGATAAAAAGTAATGTCTTCTAGGTTCCATATGGAGAGGACTGATGAAGCCAGCATTAGGCGTGATGGGGACGTGCATAAATGTGTATGTTATCCACTGAGACACAGATTCTGAAGCACCAGAACATTAAAGGCACTTCTACTTGTTTCTTCTACCCAGCTGAAAGGACAGAAAGCTTCTTCCACAGAGCCAGGACAGTCCAGGGGAACGTAGTCCTTCGACTGAAAGCTATGCTTCCTATTTTCTAACAAAGAGGCTAGGTCATGTTGACCACCCAGTTTTGGCCTGCCTGGCTTGCTTTTTATTCCAGCCTGGAGGACTTTCAGGGTTGAATATCCACTCAAGCCAAATCCCAAGAAGCATAACCTGCTATTAGACTCTTGTCACTTATCGGGTGAGGGGCTGTGCGGCTGTTCCAGTGCTTCCCCACTTGGGTCTTGTGACATACCCTGGGGCCAAGCCAAGCCCTGGAGGTTAGCTTCTACAGTCTGTCCTTAAAGAGAGCTCAGGGATGTCTGGACAGGACCTGGAGACAGTGCCCTGGGCCAGAGACCTCTGATCTCTAGGCCAGCAGAGTCACCATGCAGACAGATTTATGAGCCTTAGGCAAAACAGCTGGCATTCCTGTGGCCATCTTTCTACCCCTTCCTTTCCACATGACCATATCCTTGGCCAGATCTTCATGTCCTTAGATGGCTGTTGCCTTTGGGTAAATTGGCAATTAAGATAAATGAGCATATTTATCATGGCCTTGTGGTTACCCCTCCTGAAGCTCTCAGGGTGGCAAGCTGCCTGACCCTCCTACTATGAACTTAGTAACTTTAAAACAGAGAGTATCTTTTCTTGCCCAGCTGAAATTTCCTCCCCAGGCGACCTACTTTTAGGATTAATATGCGGGAAAGTCTGCAGTTTTGTTTTCAGTGAGGGTAGTTGTGTTTTCAAGGAAAGAGGTAGCGCCTTACAGTCAGATTAGCCAGCTTTATTTCTTTCATCAACCCTTTACTGGCTTTCTAAATTTTTTCAAGTAACTTCACCTCTCTGAGTTTCATTTACCTCATTACCTTCATCAGGTAAGATGACATATGAAAAGCCCTTCTCAAGCAACTGCAAAGTTCCAATTAATAGAAGAAATTGTAATGACTATCTGTGTTTGAAGCGGGGCCATTTTTCTTATTTGGAATTTTCACGTATTAAAAATATGGATCCTTTACACCTGTATGCCTTTACTCTCCAAATTGATTCATTCTCTAGTTCCTCTATCTCATTACTAAGTTCAAATAATCATCTTCCTACAAATCACTCAGTTTAGATGCCTTGAAGGCTTCTTTGAATACTTGCTCCTGTTCACACCCGACAGTCAGTCATCAAGCCCTGTGGAACTTGTCCCTGGTCAACATCCGTTCTTCTCCATTCCTACTGCCGTTCACCACACGCAGGCCCTCATTGTCCCCTCCTGGGATCTATATCCTCTCCTCAGCACCTTTTTCTTCTCTATTGATACCATAGACAACTTCTCATCTCATATTCTCTAAACTCAACTTTCAGGATATCATACTCTTATTCCATAGATCAGAACTTTCAATGACTTTCTCCTTCTTTACAGCTCTTCATAACAACTCTGAAGATAGATTCAGTCCTTCTTTTTGGAATTGCCTCTTATTTCTTTTTCTTTTTATGCCCATCATAAACCTCCCATTGGCAAAATTACCATGAACATTTTCTTGTGAATTCATTGCCTTGGTTCATTGGTTCATGGACGGGCACCACCATGAGCCAATTAGAATCTTTCCCTGAGAATCTAGAATCATGGTTAAGAAGGTATAGATCTGCCTGATGCTTTGTTGAATGAAGAAAATATAATGTCCCAAGGGTGGCAGCCATTTTTCTGCCCTATGAACTTCAAAATGCAGAAAATCTATCTGGAATGTGAAAGAAGAAGGATATCAATGTAAAAACAAGAACAATATAGATAAGTAGAGAGAGAAGAGAGAGTGACTCCCCATTCTGCTTTTTTCTGAGGCCTTAATTTTTTTTTATTTGTCATTGGTCTGCTAAGATAAGTTATCCCCCCCGCTTTTTTTTTTTTAGGAGACGACTCACTCTGTTGCCAGGCTGGAATGCAATGCCACAATCTCGGCTCACCACAATCTCCACTTCCAGGGTTTAAGCGATTCCCTTGCTTCAGCCTCCTGAGTAGCTGGGACTGCAGGCATGCACCACCATGTCCAGCTAATTTTTTGTATTTTTAGTAGAGATGGAGTTTCACCATGTTGGCCAGGATGGTCTCCATCTCTTGACCTCGTGATCTTCCTGCCTCAGCCTCCCAAAGTGCTGGGATTACAGGTGTGAGCCACCATGCCTGGGCACCCTTTTTAATTTAACAACCTGGAGTTAGATTTCTATATTTGTGACACTGGGAGTCCTACTTGTTTTAGGACCTACATACCAACTGTCATTTACTGAAATGATATTTAGCCATACATTTTTTCCCATCTGATTATAAAACAAAAATCACAAATCTAGAGAAGTTTGCTCCAATATTCTAAAATGCTTGGAACATACATAATAATATAATTGAAACTCCCTTCCCTCTTGGCTTTTCTGACCTTGAACTCTCCTCTTTTCTGACTCCTCAGCCCAGCACCACCCCTTCCTTTCCCTTCTTTGCCTCTCCTTTTTCTACTCATCTTCCAAAAGTAAGTAATGTTCTGCAAACTGACCTTGGACTTATTCTCTTGTCTATTTGCAAGTTCTCCCTTAGTGTCTCATCATTTCCTGGCTTCAACTATTATTTTCAGGTAACCATCTCCTCATCTTTACATCCTAACTTCTTTTACTGCCCCATTCTAACACTACCAACTCTTCGCTAGACATACCCACTTGGATTCTCCTCCTGCTTCTCAATCTGAAAATGCCTAAATCAGTGGTTTTCAACTGGGGGTGATTTTGTTCCCCAGGGACATTTGACAATTCTGGAGACATTTTCTTATTATCACAACTGGGGTTGGAGATCCTCCTAGCATCCAGTGAGTAGAGGCCAGTGATGTTGCTAACCATCGTAAAAGAACAGAAGAGCCTCTTACAACAAAGAATTATCTGGCCAACAGTTCTGAAGCTGAGAAGCTCTGCTCTGAAACAAATCTCACCATGCCCTCCCTGTATTTCCTCTATGGCCTAAATCTGATCATTTTCCTGTGTCCTCTTGCCTGTTAGTGACACCTTCAACCTCTAAATCACCCAGACCATAAATTTCAGTAGGTCTTGTTCAACTATTTGTCAAGGATGATTTATAAAGTATGCTTACAGTGGGAAAAAAATAAAGTAAATATTACTTCTAAAATACTTTCTATATCTAGGAGTGTTTGATTGTATCAATCTTAAATATAAATATTATAAAATTAGACAAGAATACATTTAAACATATAAGAAAATAAAACATTTAATTTCAAATACCTTATCTATCAAATAGATTCTGGTTAAAGCAACTAATCTTCTACTCTTTAGAAAAACAAACTTATTGGGACCACTCATATATTGCTGCAATTTTCCTGCACATTAAATTAAGGGGAGCATGGTACAACTTCTGATGAGGATGGCAAGCCTGTCTAGTACTCTAACATTGGAATATGGGCTTTATAAGCTTCTTATATGTGTTTTGAAAGGGCAACCCAAAGAAAATGCAAAGAAAAAGGGGATGGTCAACAGATAAAGTTTTTATCAATTTCTCTGGGGAAGAAAGTAGCTTCCTATGAAGCTAATTCCCTGCATAGCATTTATTCCTGTCTGATGTTTGTTTATTGTTAATTTACCTGTTTGTTTTTTGTTGCTTTCCACTAGAATGCAAGACCCACGAATTCAGGGGACTTATATACTTTGTTAGCTGTTACATCTCCAGATTTAAACCTATGCTTTTTATTAGGCATTCTATTTGTTGACCAAAGGAATGGATTAATGAATACATGCTTGAATAAGTATGTGACTTATATGAGGTCCAGTGAGTGTCCACATGACAAGAGCTTCTGCTCAGGGTCCAGATCTATCTAAAGATAGTGGAAAGGGCATGGGACTTGACTCAATAATTCATCTAAAGCTGTTACTTTTACAGTTAGATGTTTCAGAATTCAAATTTCAGGTTTTCCCTGTTAGGTATGTGACTTTGAGAGAATTATTTATCATTCATTCATTTATTTAGGCAGTAGTCATTGCTTGAGTTCCTAATTTATGCCAGGTCCTAGGCTAGACTCTGGAAATTAGTGGCAGAGATGGCCAACAGAAACCTGTCCTCAAGGAACTCCCTACTAATTGGAGAGACAGCCATTAAATGTATTCATAAGGGAATGCATTGCTTTGAAGGGGAGAAATCACAGGATAGTATGGGATTACATATAGGGGATATGGGAGGAGCTACGTATGTCTGGTGGGTTTTCTGTATCTATGCTTATTAATCTATAAAATAAAGGTCATACAAACTTCCTCAGTGGTGTTTTTGTAAAGATAAACTATGAAATGATCTGGAGCCCATATTGGTTGCAGGAAAGCGACTTAGTAAATATTGGATCCATTCTTTCTTATTCCCGCTGAGCACAGGAGCAGCTTTGGGAACTGCAACCTGGGGCTGGTGCGACCCAAGCACATAGCAATGAAACTCATCTAGGCCTTTTCTTCCTTCTAGAATAGTGACAACAGATGTGAGAAGCCTAATCAGCTGATTGCTCCATAAAATCATAAGGGCTGCAGGTCTGCTCCACATGGTTGAATCGAAGGCTTCTCAATTCTGCCACTTTCATTTTTTGGTCCCTCTTCCTGAAATTACTTAAGTTTTCTACTCTTACCTGAAATGCTCACAGTTGGGTGTGATGAGTCCTTGTATATGCAATCTATCTGGCTTTCTAGAGGTCATAGAGGTCATAGCAGGCTCTAGATTATTCCTTTAGTCACATCTTCTTGACCTGGCAAGCTAAGGATTAGCTCGTGAGCCCTCTTTAAGAGGAGGGGCTCATCTGGGTTCACCGAGATTGCAGGAGGCAAAGTGCTGTAGGGCACCACCTCATTCTAGTGCTACGCATTGTAACTGGCTGACCTCTCAGAGACCACACTGCGGCCGTGGAAATCTGCCTTTTGTAAGATGCCCTGAGAAACTGGAGAATATTAGAGAGGAATGAATATAAAAGCAGTAAACACAACAAGCCTTTGTTGAACTTAGTAATTGCCATCACTGGGTTAGATGAGCAAGGAGAAGGTTTATGAAGCTGTGTAGGCATGGTTTTAATCATATGAGGCCAGATCGATTAGGCCTGGCATCTCAGTCTGAACAGATGAAAGGGGGTGTGATAAAACCCACATTTGTAGGAGGTACCTCATTGGGATGGTCAAATCTTTCTTACGTGCCCTATGAACATGGGCAAGTTACTTACCCCCTCTACATCTCAGCTTCCTTACTTGTGAAATAAAGATGGTAATAGCTATCACGTAGGGAACAGAGATCACGTGCCAACACTGTGCCTAGAACCTCACCTGCATCAGCATGTATCACACTCCTAATCATCCTGTGAGGTAGGCAGATTAGGTGTCTATGTTTTACAGATAAGCAAATTGAGTGTCTAAATGGCTAAATAACTCTTCCAAAGTTACACAAACGGTAAACTGAAGAGTTAGGATAGGAGTCTGGCTAATATAATGCCAAATCCATTCTATAAATTACTGAATCATAATGATCTTATAGAGTCCATGTGATGATTTAATGAGATGTTAAATGTAAATAGCTGCTCAGAAGTAATTTTTAGCTGCTATTGTTGTGGTTATTTTCATTAGCATCACCATCACAATCAGATAATTGTGGAAAGTTTCTTACTTAGATTCAGAAGTACAGATTATACAACAGCATTAAGTGTAGAATAAAGGAAAGGAGATCCTATTCATCAGCAAGGATGTAGCGAAGGAAAGTTTAAAATATTGACTGTACAAGGTCCAACTTCTCTGATGGGCTTGGGCCCACAATTCACCTAAGCTGAGATTTTTTCATGATAGGAAGCTGCTGCTAATTATTTGCATACAGTGCAGCACAAGAACCTGCCCCTGAAGTCATGTCACTCTAGTATTTAGCAGCTTCTTTATGGGAAAGATATTTTATATTAATACCTTGGGAAAAGTAGTTACAGCACATCTCTCAGAGATAAAATACCAAAGCAACACTCACTTCCATCTTGCATAAGTTATTGCAACAATGATGCTGTGTAACAAACAAACACAAAACACAATGGCATACCACAATAAGTGTTTATTGTTCATGTGTCTGAAGTGATCAGCTAAATAAATCTGGCATTCTTGGATTTATGCGTCTGAGGATTGGTTGTCTGCCTATCTAGGCTAGCCTCCTTTGAGATATCTGGAATGGCTTGGGTCTGTGTCTCATCCTTCTCCTGGAACTAGCAGGCTAGTCTAGGCAGATCCTTGCTGATGACAAAGGCTCAAGAAAGCAAGCAGGCATGTGTAAGACCACTTGAGGAAGTAGAAATCCAACAGTTCTACTTCCTTCACTTAGCTAAAGGAAGTTACATGGGCAAACCCAAAAGCAAGAGATAGAGTTGACCTGTTGACTTTAAGGAACTTTGGTGAAAGGAACTGCAAAGTCATACAGAAAAAAAGAGTGGTTATAGGAATAAGTGAAAAATCAAATAATGTCATTATCTGCCCATATCTTTTCTTAAAAACGGAATCCATATGTGTTTGAATTTTATTAAAGGAGCCCCACCCATATCATTAGTCTAGTTTTATCTCCAAGATAAATATATAACACATTCAGCAAATGGGTTGAAGTCAGGGTCAGGTTTGTTCCTGTTTATTGTCTCACCCAAGATGAGCACCAAGGAGTTCAGTTGTTCTCACATGTCTGTGTGTTGCTGGGCCTTGTTTCTTTAACAATTAATTCGTTATGAGAACAGAGCTTAATCCACCCTCTTTACTCTCACAATGTGTGTGTGGGTGTGGATGTGGGTGGGTGTGCGTGTGTTAACTAGCCTGTGAAAGACTGACTTTTTCCTAGAGTCATCAGCCTTGAGGGTGACTCTGAGAGGTCCTCGGTTTATACTGGAGGTAGTAGAGTGAAGTGGTTGATTATACAGGCTCGGAAATGAAACCAGCCAGGATTCAAATCTCAACTCTTATGTCTTAAATATGAGATATGTACTTAGTTACTGTAATTTCATGGATTTTAAGCTTCTTTATAAAAAGAGTAAAACTTCTAATTCAGAGAGATGTTGTAGGACTAAACAAGATATTATGTTTTGAAAGCCTTTTGCAGTGTTTGCAAAACATATAGTAAACTGTCTTGTTCGGTCTTGTTAATACCGAATATTTTAAAGCATATGATTTTAATAATAAATGAGTGTTATTGGTTATGGTCTCATTATCATCATCCATTCATCCAACCATCCATTTCCTCGTAGATGATCTACAGGAGTCCTAATCATTTCTAAGTCACATTACACAAGATTTCCTTGGTCAGGAAAAGGTTTTCACTTAGGACAGACCATTATCTCCTTTATTCTCTTTCCTCTGAAATTGCCATGAGAAGAAAATGCCACGAAGAACCATGAAAGGCTTCCCTCTTGTCTCTGTTTCTGCAAGCACTGAGAATACATGCTTCTGAGCATCCTCATAAAACACTTTATAAAAACATTCATAGATTTACAGATAGAAAATAATTCACCCTGGCCTCCTGAAAACTAGGTGTCAATTACTCTACACTTTCTCCATTGGATCCAAACCTCAGAAAAATTGTTGTTTTACCATTTTATTTGCTAAAAGTAGTGACTAAACGAAAAAGAAACATAGGAGAATATATTTGTGCATTTGGGTTATGCAATAGTTTCTTAGATATAACACCAAAAAGTATGATTCATAAAATTAAAAACATAAAAAATTGGACTTCATCAAAATGAAAACATTTTGCTCTTCTAAGAACACTATTAAAATGAAAATGCAAGTCAAAGACTGGGACAAAATATGTGTATATCATGTATCTGTTAAAGGACTTGTATCCAGAACACATAAGGAACTCTTACAATTCAAAAAGAAGAAAACAACCCAAATTTAAAATAACCAAAACATTTAAATGGACATTTTGCCAAACAAAGGTACACATGGTTAATAACCACATGAAAACCTGCACAACATTATTAGCAATTAGGAAAATACCACTCCATACTCATTAGAAAAGTTATAATCCAAAAGACTGACAATAACAAACATCGGTGAAGACATAGAGAAGCTAGAACTCTCATATATTTCTAGTGGAAATGTAAAATGATATAGTCATGTTGGAGGAAAGAGAGAGAACCCTAAATCCTAACCAATAGACACCATGTAAGATATGATACAGCCATTTTGGAAAACAGTTTGATAATTGCTTAAGAAGCTAAAATTATTCTTACCTTACAAACCAGTAATTCCACTTCTAGGTATACACCCCAGAAATATGAAAACATGTTCACATATAGACTTGTAAGCAACATTCAAAGCAACATCATTCATAATAGCCAAAATGTGAGAAAAAATGCAAATGCTCATCAACCAGTCAACAGATAAAGTGTGATCCATACAATGGAATACTACTCAGCAATAAAAAGGACAGATTATTGATACATACCACATTTTGAGTTAGCCTTATTTCACTGTGCTATGTGAAAGAAACCAGACATAAAAATTGCATAGTGTAAGGTTGCATTTATAAGAAATTCCTAGAAAAGAGAAATCTATATGTAGAAAAAAACAGATTAGCGATTGTTGGAGACTGGGGATTAGAATGGGGATTGATGACAAATAGGCACATGTAGAGTTTTTAAATGATAGAAATGTCCTAAAAATTGGAGTGAGGGATGGTTGTACAAACGTATACATTAATTTAAAAACACTGAACACAAAATTGGTGGTTTTTATGGTATGTAAATTATACCTTAATGAAGCAGTTTTTTTTTTTTAAAGTTAAATGAGATCTAGAACTCTAGTCAGGACTGTGTTAAAACTGCTAACGTTGGAGTTGTTTTCTTCCCAAAACAATTCAAATAATGCTGCTCGTTCCTATTAGGCAATACATATTTCATTTCTAGTCAGCATGTGGTGAGGTGATCACCTTATTATTTTCTTTCCTTCTGCATACTCCAGATGCACTTTTGACTTAATATCTTCGTTGTATCCTCTTAATTAGGTTCTTGCTGTTTCCTTGAGACCATACCTTCAGTAGTTCATGCCTAGTTTAAATTTTATCCTCCACTCAGATTTAATTCAAACCACCACATTTTAAATGCCTTATAGTTTATTTCTGTGAATGTAAGAAACACATCCTTGGCTTGCTTTTACAAATTCATTACTGAAGAGATGGACTAGAGGGGCCAACGATTGATTCCAAGAGACACCAATTGCTCTATTCCCCTGCCTGATAATGAGCCCATACCCAGAGGGAATCGGCCAGTGTTAAATCTCATAATGACAAACAGAAATGTGCAGCGTCGTTATCACTAAGCCAACACCATTAAAGGCCAGTGTTTATTGACACTTCAGGTGACTGGATGATGCCTCTCCAGGCCGAGCTAATGAGGAGAACCTCTCCATTACCTCTTATCGAGATTTAGCAGACTCCATAGCTACCCAATGAAAGTGGAAATTACTGGGCAAGCACTGACATTTACCAGAGACTGGCCTTCAGTCATAATGCATAAGGCACTCAAGGACAGATTTGTAGACTCAGAAATCCAGTTTATAGAGGCTTTTGTTTTAGCCTGTTGTTTGCAAAGCCTGCACCCTCAAACATTTTTGCTGCTCTCCACAGTCTAGTGCAAAAGTGGTTGTTTTCATGGATGTATTTCCTGCCACTTGTCTTAAGCACGAAAAAAAGACCAAAGCACAAATTTGAAAGTCTTTTTGGTTCTTGTATTCTTTAGAAGCCCACCATAGTTGTTGTTTTCTGATGGGATTTATTCACTCAATCCCAATCATTCATAGACCATCTCCATAAATTTGCACTTTCCATCTACTACCAAATTACTTGCACTTTCAAGTAATTAATTAATTATTTTCTTAAACCAATTCATATTTTTTAAAAAATATTTTTCAGAAAGGAAATGTAATCTTACTACCATTAATAAAAGATAAGATTAAAAATATATTTAAATAAACACGTAACTATTAATTGCTGTTTCCCTAACCAATATACTTTCTAACCTAATATATTAACAGAACCATGTTTTGCTTTGTTTCGTTTTGCTTTGCTTGTTTCCAGAGTAGCAATGTGAACAGATATAAACTACATTTTCCAACCTCCTTTGCAGTTAGGATGGCCATGGATATGGTCCTGGGTGACAAGAATAAAAAGATGATGCTCAAAAGAGATTCTGGGAAAACCATAAGAGGAGGGTGAGGCAACTGACATATACCTTTGCCTGTCCTCTTTTTTCCTGCCCTGAAAATGGTCACAGTGTTAAAGATGAAGTGGCAATTTTGGGTCAATGAGGCAACAAGCATGAGGTTGAAAGTCACACTCAGGTCAGAGGAATTTCAAGATATCTACTGTACAACATGGCACCTATAGTTAATAACATGCTTTATTCTTGATGATTGTCAAGAGAGTAGATTTTGAGTGCTCTCACCACATAAAAAGATAAGTATGTGAAGTAATTTATGTTTATTTGCTCAATTTGGGCATTCCAAAATGTATAAAAATATTTCAAGAGACCATGTTTTACATGATAAATATGTATATATTTTTTTATTTGTCAATAGAATTGTTTTAAAAGATGGCCAAACAGAAATATAGTCAGAATAGGGTCTTCGATTATTGTGCAAGAAAAAAATGAACTCTCCACTTGTTTAAGCAACTTCTAAATCAGGTTTTCTGTTACTAGAGGCCAGTGTAGTTCTCACTGAGACATTTATCTCTGTCCTACTTAAAATCACTTCATGTGCCACCATCAGCATGGGCATCACACTTTGATCAACATTCTGCTCATTGAATATGGTATGTGTAGATTGTCTTTCCTGAAGATAGAGATCATTTTTTATTTTTTACTCACTCCCATCAGGCCAGAGGTAAATTTAGGAAGGCCCAAAGTGGTCTCTTTCCCATCTAAATATATATATATATTGTGGGTGGGCAGCCTCTGTATTCTTCCTCTAATTGAAAGAGATTTAAATGCTTATGGTGTGAATTCAAATTTATTCAAATATGAATGCTCACAATATTGACAGGCCAGTCCATAGCCAGCCCAACATGGAAAGAGGACTACAGGTGTCCATGCAGTTTGTTCTAAGTTATGGCTGCAGCTACTGCCTGTCTCTGAGTTTTAAGGATGATGTCTCTGGTGACTCCATTCTTGCTTACTTATAGAATAAAGCATTCAGAACAAATAAGCCAGTGACCAGCGATTTATATGGCCAAAGGTTCTGAGCTTGCTAAATTTATATTATTTTACTATCCTAAACATCAAACATTTAAGCGTGTATAGTTCTTGCTCACAGATGAGTAATAGAAATTCTTTGAAAGATACTATAGATTATTATAATAGTAACAATAACAGCTGCCACTGATTAAACTTGTTCTATATGCTAAGAGTATGCTCTCACATTTGATCTTTAAGCAATCCCATGGGTAACTATTATTGGGTATTTTTTTGTTATTATTATCTCTATTTTACATTTGAGGACATTGAATCTTAGAGAAGTCGAACCTCTTGCCCAAGATCACACAGTGAGTACCATGAACAAGAAATAAAATTCTTCCCTGTGTGAACCTAAAGCCAGGGCTTTTAACTATGGCTAACTTTGATGGGTCTTAATATAAAAATATCTTGACATGTTTTTATGTTTGTTCATTTCTATTAATTATTTATAATTAAGTTATTAAATATTGATGTATATTCATATTTTATATTAATTCAATAAAACTCTTAATAAACCTCTAATAACATAAGCCAATTAACTAAGTGACCCTGGGCAAGTTATTTATTTATTTATATTTAATTAACACATATGGCCTTTGTGCTAGACACTGTCCTAAGGAGTCTGTAAGTTTTACACATTTAATTCATATTTCAACTCAATGAGCTAAGTACTCCATTTATACAAGAGGAAACCAAGGCGTAGAGAGTTGAAGTAACTTGGCAAAAGTCATACAGTTATAATAGACTTACATAGTCATACTAGTCATACAGCTAGTCAAACGGCCAGTAATGGCAATGCCCTTATCTGCAAAATGAGAAGGTTGTAGTGGGTAACCCCAGAACTCTTGTCACCTCTGGCATTCTGTAAACTGTAAATTTTGAATTTCTGGCTTGATTAATGATTGATTAATTGATTTTTGGTTGAGCATATAAGAAATATGCTGCCACAGAGGAAAACTGGCTTTCGTAGCCCTTTCTGACCACGGTGTTTCTTTCAGCTCAGCAAAAGGCAACATCTGTGTATATGCAGAGTACATATCTATACCCTCAATGTATTTCTGACAAGTTCAGCTTGTGATCCCTGTGGGCATAGCTGGTAAGTAAGTTTAAACCATCATTTCCCAAAGACAGAACTGTGATGAAATGATTACTTCCCAGACACTGGAGAATACCACTCCTGATGCAGTTTGGGATGTCTTTGTGATAGCCTGGCAAGAATCTCCAGAATCAATCATAAGAGACAAGACACAGTAACAGAAGTCAGACGGCCTGACATAGTGTTTGTTGACCATAACCTGAACTGGAGCCTAGCCATTGATCAGCTTTGAGAATTCGGCTGTCAGTGGTTTAAGCACACATCCTTAGGAAGATCAGAAGCTTCCCTATGTGTGAAAAGTAACCTTTGCTGGCAGAGCAATGCCATAACTTACTTTCCTAGGACCCTCCCAATGTGCATAGAGATGAGTGGTGGGATGCTCTCTTATGGAGCAAGCAATTTTGTTAGTTACTATTGATGTGCTCAGATATTTGTAGCTCTAGCTACTAATGAGTTTCAGTAGGAATGCCAGCATGAACTCACTCAGCCCAGTTTATTTCAGCAATACATTACTGTGACAGGTGATGGTGATCCTCCACCTAGTTTCTCTTTACCAGACTGGTGCCCTTAACTTCGTTCTTCTGGGGGTGTTAGCTGCTCATGGCTCACACTTTTATCCTCTTCTGGAGGATTTTCCACAGCTGATAGGGCCTGCCTTGTGCATATACCTGGAAACTTTTATTCCTTTTCCTGGAGGTGGCCCATTGCCAGTAGGGCCGATGTAGGTGTGCAAGAGTGTAACCCCCTTTCCCTGGGAGTGGAAAAGTGATGGGGGAGCTCTCTGAGTAGAATTCATTCTCTGGTTCTCTCTGTGGCATCGGAGTAAGGTGAATCTCCTTCTGGACTCTTTCTTTTCTATCCTGTTCCCCTGTAGCCTTACAGGTTTCTCTTGAAAGCAACCCCTCAATATGTCACTTACACAAGAATCCAGATCTATCAAGCAAGAGGAATAAGTTCAAGTTCATAAGATTCTTGTCTTTAACTGCTGAGCCCCACCCCCATCCTTGGCTTGTGTCCATCCAAAATGTCAGTACTCTTTGATTGCCTCCTGGCTCAGTTACCTTCATGTTTTACTTTCCCCTCATATCCCTTTCAAACAATAGAAGCTTCTTTCACTGAACATAACTGCAGCTCCTTCAGGAGATGGGGGAAGAAGGCAGTGTCAGAAGAGAGACTATTCTGCACTCCTTGGAGAACCAGTGACCAGTGGGTATGATATTTAATTTTACCAGGAGCATGCATCAGAAAATAGTCCACAATATTTCACACAAAGAGTCATATCCAGAACAAGGAAATTAAATAGGTTTTAATTGAAACCTTAATGCTACATTTGAGAAGGAAGGTCAGATTGAAAGAAAATTGATTTCTGTAATTGATAATTCTTTTTCCCACATATCCCTGAGCACAATAATCATAACTCTTAAGGAACTCAGAAATGCATGGTATACAAGGGAGTGACATGAGTACACTTATTTCAAAATGGAGAGAGAGACTTCCTGCCTCAAACTATCCCAGATATTTAAAGATTTGAAACATTTAACTAAATTTTTGGTAACTCAAATGTTTTGCCACTCGTTAGACATAAAATTTGTTTTCTATCATCTGTCAGTTTCACTCTACATTTTATTTCATGGATGAGACAGAATGATCATTAGTAGTTAGTTGGTTGTAAGGGGAAACATAAAATAAAAATAGAAGTTCATGGGAAGGATTTTCCATATGCATCTGCATGGAAAAAAATTTAAGCAAAAGGATTTAACGTGCTGATATTTCAAACTACCTTTTCATAGGATGAAATATGATTTGCCTGTATGTGATTCTGAAATTCAGATAGTAGAAACTCTACGGGCAACGCTATCTCCTCTAGAAGTTGGTAAAATAAGAGGCAAGTCTTATTAAAAATAATTATAATTCTTTTCAACCAATATTTATCGGTGACTCACTCAGGGTCAAAAAAGTAAATATTTTTTAACGGTAAGAAGGTACAAAGAACAGTATGATGCCAAGGAACACATGCCACTTTTTGATGGAGAATATGAAAGCATCCTGGGGGAAGAAAGAGATGATGCAGACCATTCAGAGCAGGTAGGATTTGGATAGGTATAAATCGATGTTGAAAGGAAGGGGCTAGCAACAAGAAATAGAAAGGCTATAGGCTCATTGGAAGGAAAAGGTAGGCATTGTTCAATGAAATGCCAAAAAATATTTGGCACTTCGGATACTATAGAGGATGCGGAAAAGTAATCTGGAATGGTAGGTTGGAGCTATGGAAAGAGAATCAAGGTGTTTATTGTTTCAGTGAATGTCAAAACATATGAGTGTGTATATATTGGAATAGAATGAAGAGATCTCAAAGGTGGACCATCAGTTAGAGTGATTGATATGGCAGTGATCTAAAACAACAGTCCCCAGACTTTTTGAACCTTGGACCAGTTTCATGGAAGACAATTTTTCCACAGTGTGGGGGGATGGTTTTGGGATAAAACTGTTCCACTTCAGTTAGATTCTCATAAGGAGCGTGCAACCTAGATCCGTTGCATGTGCTGTTACAATAGGGCTTGTGCTCCTATGAGAATCTAATGCCACCATTGATCTGACAGGAGGAGGAGCTCAGGTGGTACTGCTCGCTGGCAGCTCACCTCCTGCTGTGCAGCCTGGTTGCTAACAGGCTGTGGACCAGTACCAGTCCACAGCCTGGGGGATGGGGACTCCTGGTCTAAAATAAGTAAAGGAGGCATGAACACACAGGTGACAGTGGAAGTCAAAGGGAACAAGAATTTTAATAGAGAAGAAAAGATCAATGCTGGCACAAACTATAGAAGGAATGAGGAAGAGGAAGGTCAAACCAAAGTAAATCGATCTGGCAAAGAGGAAGTCATTTGGTCAACCAAAGCCGGTATTTAATCTATACTGTCATACTGCGGATTCCTCCCAAAGCCAACCTCAGCAACAGAGGTTGAGTAGTGGTAGTTTGTTTGAGAGGTAGCCCTAGGAAGAACAAGGAAGGGGGTCAGAACAGTGAGGCAGGAATAGCAGAAGCGAATAGAGGATACATGAATGAGGCAGTGAGCAAACGGAGATCCTCCAGAGGGATCCATAGAATGTATCTAGAATTGTTCCACTGAGGGAGGGGTAGAGCCCAGGGATTTGTGCAGTGATTTCGGCTCCTAATTGCTTGGCAGTTGCCCGCAGGGGCATCAAATCCCCTCTTCAATGGACTGGTCTGCTCTGAGTAGGGCAAGCCCCTGTGGCCCTGCTCAGGTAGAAAAGCAGAAACATTCAAGCCATTGAATTATGCAAGGAGTGATCCACTGCAGCCTCAGATAAACTTAGAGGTAAGCAAGGGTATAAATAACAACTTCTTCAAGTACCTACAAGTTCTAGGTGTTTGCAAGTGGCTTCTATTTTTGAGGTCACCTCACAGTTTAAGATGGCTGCTGGCATTCCAGCTATCACAGCTACTTTGTGGACAGCAGGAAACACTCATAGAAGAGTCCACTTCGTTTAATCAGCCTTCCTGTAAGTATCACAGAACATTCATTCACCAGAAACAGACATATGACCAATCTTGCTGGAAGGGAGGCTGGGAGATGCAATATTTTAGCTCGACATATTATTGTTCCACATACAATTGTGCTTGGTTTTAAGGAAGGAAAGGTACATAGAGGTTGTGTGATAGCCAGCAATCTCTGCCATACCATATAAAAACATATTTAAGTCAGAGTTTTAATTTCTTTTTTATTTATTGATTCTGTGTCCCACCCACTAGATTTCTAGTTCCTTGAAGACAGGAACTGGGTTAGCTTTACTGTGTTATTACTCACTGTGACTCATACATTGAGGTTTATTTTTTTCCCCCAGAACAGTCTAGCCCACTTTATCCCTTTTGGCTTTTTAAGTAAGGACATCAGTATCATTACACAAATTAAAGGGAAGAGAGGATGAGGATGCCCAATAGCCAGCCATAATGAGAAGTCAGGAATTCCAAAACTTGAATTTTAGATTTTATCAAAGAAGCAGGTGGAGATGAAAATTATGGGTTATCTGATATATTTAATTATTCAAAATCGTAAACAAACGTACTACACAGAACTCTTTATAACAAATTCTTCATTTTTCAGCATACACTCACCCAAACATAAACCTACACCACTATTCTCTAGCCGGAGCCATAGCTGAAGGTATTTTTAATGCCTTTCATGTTAGTGAAAATATCTCTGTAGTAGCTATGGACTTGAACTCAGCAGACCAAGATATGAGTCTCTATTTTCTATTACCAGCAAGCAAGCACTGACAAGCTGTTTATCATCTCCTATCCTTTGTTTCCTCACTTTTAAAACAAGCATAGTCACACTGCAGGGGCTTTTGAAAGGAATATTTGAAAAGCTCCTGCACAAGTCTTAGCAAAGTAGGCTATCAGAACACGAACTTTAATCTGAATCTCTTCTGTTGTGTCCAAGACTAAAGAGGAGTCTGACTTGATCTTTGGCTCCTTTGACATTGGGAGATCACTGCTACAAACAATCATACTGTGAGAAGCCCCTGGGATTCCTGGAGATTCCTGCATGTCTGTCTCCCAGACTCTTAAGCATCTGGCCTTGACTTTCTACAAAATGTAAAGGAGGCCTCCAAATGACAGACCTTAGGGGGAACATCTCCAAATGGTTCTTCCAAGCACAATGAATCAATCCCCTCTCCTTGCATATTCTGAGAATTAGCAGAAAGTACATACATATTTCAGAGTTACCTCTTAATACAATTACAGTTCATTCAGCCAGCAATTACAGTAATAGAAAGATTGGCGACTACTGCAAATCAGGTTTAAGAGAACTGATGGCCCAAGGGGCTAACGCTTCATTCTGTCTGGCTCTAGTAGCAGACTTGGTGGGCTTGTGACCCCCATGTGGTGTGTGTGTGTGGGTGTGTGGGTGTGTGGGTGTGTGTGTGTAGGGAGACTGGGCACTCCCAGTGGTGTAGGTTGACTGATTATGGTGACCATTTTATTATTTTTATTTTTATTTCAACAGTTTGGGGGATACAGGTGGTTTTTGGTTACGCGGATGAGTTCTTCAGCGGTGAAGTCTGAGATTTTAGTGCACTTGTCACCTGAGCAGTATAGTCTTTCATCCCTCAACCTCCTCCAAACTTCTCTGTACCCCCAACCCCCTCCCGAGTCCCCAAAGTTCATTATATTACTCTGTATGTCTTTGTGTCTTCATAGCTTAGCTTCCACTTGTAAGTGAGAACACATGATGTTTGGTTTTCCATTTCTGAGTTACTTCCCTTAGAATAATGGCCTCCAGCTCCATCCACATTGTTGCAAAAGACATTATTTAGTTCCCTTTTGTGGCTGAATAGTATTCCATGGTGTATATACACCACATTTTCTTTACCACTCATTGGTTAATGGGCACTTCGGTTGGTTCCATATCTTTGCAATTGTGAATTGTGCTGCTAGCTATAAACATGTGTGTGCATGTGTCTTTTCCATATAATGACCTTTTTTTTTCTTTTGGGTAGACACTGAAAGCCTTCACCTCCTGGTGAAGACAGGAGGTTATTGGCCATGTTAGACACTGAAAGTCTTCATCTCCTGTGGCTCCTATCTATACCAGCCTCATAGTCTGGATTCTGTGGTTTTAAGAAACTACTCTGAAGAAATAAATGTGGACAGAGCACTACAGGAAAATGGTGACTATAGTAAAGGCAGGGGGCACGGGTAGTCCTCTAGTGCTTAGCTATGCCCCATTCCAATGTTGATCTCCAAATAACTTCTCACTGAACTTCATGTAAGCCTTTGAAGCCAATTACTTCCAACTATGTCTCATTCTCTCAAATTAAAATCTACATCTGATTCATTCTCTCTGAAATACATATGCCCAGATATCTAAATTCAAATGGCATCTAGCTGGAAGGTTGGAATACCCGTTTACTTCCTACAAATATATTCACAAAGAAGAAATGATTTTAAAGAACAGCAACAATGACTTAAAAAACCTAAAGACAAAAAACAAAAACAAACAAACAAGCAAAAAACGCCCGGCATGGTAGCTCATACCTGTAATCCCAGTGACTAGGGAGGCTGAGGCAGGAAGACAACTTAAAGCAAAGAGTTTGAGACCAGTGTGGCAATCTACTGAGAATCCCTCTCCTAAAAAGAAGAGAAAAAAATAAAAATAAATTAGTTGGGTACAGTGGCCTGAACCTATAGTCCCACCTACTCAGAAGGCTGAGGCGAGAAGATCTCTTGAGCCCAGGAATGAGTTTGAGTTTGCAGTGAGTTATGATTGCACCACTGCATTCCAGTATGGGTGACAGAGTGAGCCCTTGTCTCTTAAAAAGTAGGAAATAAATAATTTTAAAAGACAAAATAGTGTTAGAAAAATGGTAGATTGAACAATATTTATAAAGTAGACCAGTCTGGGTTAGAGCAAAGACGAAGAAAAAGAAACATAGAAGGCAGCTTGACACTGCGTTCCTGTTCTGTTCACTCTCCAGAAATCCAGCAACCTATCAAATTAAAAAGACCTAGCAGCTTATTTCTCTGTACCATAGACTGGTTTTTATCTCCACTCTGCTTTAGACTTTATCTCTACCATAGATTTTTAAATCTGTATTGAGAGAAAGAAAATATCTTAACGAATCCTTGTGGAAATAGAATTTCAAGCATACTTGAAATGTTCTCCAAAACTGTGGAAGAAAAAAATACATGAAAATGATAAAAGATAAACTGATAGACATTGAATAAGAATACAGGAATTTTACCTATGAACAATTTCTCCTTTTGGAATATGGTTTGAGACAAAGAAAGAATATTACAGCATATCAGAAGAAGAAAGAAAGGTAAACAGAAAGGAAAGGACAGAGAAAGAATAGAAGCAAGAGAGGAGGGGAGGAGGGGAGGAGGGGAGGAGGGAAGGGGAGAGGAAGAGAGAAAGAAATGGAAGAACAGAGAAAGGGAGGAAGAAAGGGAAGGAAGGAAAGAAGGAAGGAACAAAAAGAGGATGGAAGGAAGGAAGGGAAGGAAGGGAGGGAGGGAAGGAGGGAGAAAGGAAGGAAGGAATGAAGGGGAGAAGGAAGGAAGGAAGGGAAGGAGGGGAGAAGGAAGAAAGTCCTTTCATGCACTAAAGAAAAGTTAGTACCTACAGGTGGAAATAGAGTTATAACTGATAATTTATTGATACCTAAACAGAAGAAAAAACATGGTTTTTTTCCAATCATGAGGGCACAAAAAATTTCTATATTGGCATCATACTTTACTGTTGCAAAAGTGGTCTTTCTGTAACTCTCTTAAACATTTATTTCCTCATAATCACAGAGAGCGTTTTCCATGTGAATTCGCACAAATTCCTTGCTTAGAAGCCCTCACTGGCTCTCCCTCATCCACCCAGTAAGTCCCAGATTCTTGAACAAGACTTGGCCTATAACTCTCTCTCATGTCTCCTGCAACTGCCAATCTGTCACTCTCTCAAGAGCCCTGCAAAAACCATGCTACTCAATAAACCACAGACGTCCTTTCTTTCTATGCCCACTTAACGTTACTTTTCATTCAGATCTTTTATATCCCATCTTCTCCAGAAAGCTTTCTCTGTACCCTCTTCTCAAACAAGAATAAATCTTTGTATCCTGTGCTAGGATATAATGAAAACAGATCTTCTGTATTAATTTGTATTAATAGCTTTTTATGTTAAGTTGAATTTTTCCATGTTTGTTCCATCAAGTTCCTCCCCTAAGATTGTGGGTGTTCTCAGAATTGAGTATGTGCCCCAACATCTAACATGGTATCTAGTCCATAATACGTGTGAGATTGTGCTTGTTGACCTGAATCATGGAAAATGCCTGGGCCGTATATGAAGTACAGAAGAGCTCCAGGTGTGAGGTAGTGCTTGGTAAGATAAAGACTTCAATGTAGCACCTGGTATTGTGAGGGTGACCTGTCTTTCCTGGGTCTTCAGCAATGTAGGAACTTCTTTGGCAGTAGTTTTAATTTAATCCTTTAATCTCTAATTTTGCAGCCCATTTAGAAATAAAAAAATTACAAGCAAAGCTTTTGGTTTCCATCTTAATTGTATTACTTTATCACCAATATAGAACAGAGAGATCCATAGTGGATTACAATAAGTGGAGAGGCCCTGTAGCTGGAGTGTGCCTGCAGAATTTCTAAGAAGGCCAGCATGCCTGCAGCATAGAAAGCAATGGAGAAGGGAAATGGAGGATGAAGTCAGAATGGCGACGAGGGACCAGATGGTGGAGGCTTTCAGGTCATTAAGGGCTTTACTTATTTTGAATGACGTTTATTTTGACAACAATTAATGGGTTTTGAGCAGAGGAGCAAGAAGACACGACTTACATTTTATCGGGATCATTTCAGCATTCTTGAATAAGTTGAAAAGAGAAATCATTTAGAAAACATCTGCACCTATCCAGGTAAGACATGATGGTGGACCAAGGTGGTAGCAATGGAAAGGAGGGGCATAATTGGATTAGGGATGTATTTTAAATGTTGAGCCGACAGGATTTGCTGGTGGGTTGCATGCAAGTCAGTACTTAAATGAGATTAGCCATGGAATACAAGCATCAAAAGTAAAGAGCAGAGATGATGAAAGTGATGGTGAGGTCTGGGCCATTCTAAGAATTCTAATAAAAATCAAAGGGGTAAGGGTTGATGTCAGTTCACAGGCTATGGAACTGTCAAGACCAAAGACCCTGTGAGGTAGCTGAAGCAGGAAACACTTTCCTTTTATGTATCAAAGTCTCCAATCCTAATGCTGTGCTGGAGAACTTGGACCTATGGTGCAACCTGGCAGTCAATGAATCAGGAAATAAGGGGTCAGCCTGATAGAACATTTAGGAGGGAGTGTGACTCATAGATGACAATGTCTTAAGAAGGTCTAGTATGTTTACTCTTAAGCATCAAGAAACAAATGACGATTTTCAATACTCGGAGTATACTGGCAGAGGAATCCTGAATCAACTGGCATAGGTCTGCCACTGATGCAGGAAGTTGAACCTGGCAGCTGCAGCCAATCAGAGCTGAAGAACAGTCAAGTCAAGGTCAGGACCCCTCTTCCAGCCTTTGAGCGTTGGCTTCTGCTTCCCTCCCTCAGTCCTGATATTCCTTACTACTTCCACTTTCAAATAACTGAATTACAGCCCCAGACCATCTTGTTCTCCCTTGGGCCACAGCAATGCAATCCACCTTCTTCTTAATCCTCCTGCAGCTCCAGCCTGCAGTTTCAAGACAGGTGCACAAAGTTCCTTAACAGTTTCCTCTCATTCAGACACAACTTCAATGAAGTGAAGTTAGGGAACAAAATCCACTCTATCTACTGCCTCCTATCTTTGGTCCACTCATCTCTTATTGTCTCAAGTAGGGATTCCCTATTCTCATTCTTAGCTCTGTAGAACTCTGCTGCCTGGAATTCCTGGCCCTGTCAGATGAAACGCGAGGGGAAAATTTAGACAGATACAAACTTAGCCATCATAGTTTTGGGTAAATTTTATATTCACAGTTGTCTGATTTGGTACTGTTCAAAGCTTTTTATGACAAGATCATAATGACAAAACTTTTAGGTCTCTTGGCAGGGAAATCAAGAATGTTCTTGGAGCAGCTAGTTATTTTATATATAGAGAGATATCTATCTATCGATATAAATAAAACATGTATACATATATATTTATATATAAAACACATATATACATATATACATGTAAAAGTCTATGTTTACATATATTGTTTATCTAGTTGTATGATCACTCTGCCCTTAAATGAGATAATTTGATTATATTTGAAATCATGAAACGTGAAACAAATATGAAATCCAGATTGTTATAGCATGATGTAACTAAAAGATAATTAATTTCCAGATGTTTTTATTCCTTTTTATAGTAATCTTATTTTGCTGCTTATACTTATTGACATTTACTTTATACAAGCTTTGTTCTAATTTCATCTATCTCTCTAGAAAATTATATTCTCACAGCAGCCCTGTGGGCTTAATGATAATATGACATCTATTTTACAGATGTGGACACTTAAGATTGATCAAAATCAAGTAGATAACAAGTGTTAGGGTTGGAATCAAATCTAGACCTATTTATGGTCAGATTCCGAACTCTTGAAGAGTTCACTGTATGGTATTAACTGACAGTAAGCACATTTAAAGCGTTCTCTTGGGCTGGGGCATAAATGTAGCCCAACTATGTTTGCATTCATTTCCAAACTAAATGTAGTTAAATTCAAAATTTTTCACAAAGGAGCAGTTAGGAGTTTGTCTAAATTTCTGATACCCTGTCTCTGAATGTGGTCCTAAAGGAAAAGAATCTGAAAATCCCCTTGTTTCTAGAGACAGGAAGTGGTTCTTGCAGGTTCTTCTTTTACAAGAATATTGGTCTCAGTAACCAGAACTCTGATTGCAACATGTAATAAATTCAATATCACTGGCCTTTCCAAGACAAGAAAATGAGGAATAGGTTATTCATTTTGCTGAAGAAGAGAAAATTTTCAACTAATGTTTCTTCAGTAAGAAACCTACTTTGACAAAGAAGTAAAAGATATGTCAATAAGGAGCCATATTGCTGCTGTAGAAGATTAACATTTTGCATTGAAGTGTTGGTTCTGATAATTTTAGTAAACTTTCCTGTTGACCCATCTCTCCAAAGTTGCTGACACTTTGGAATTGTGTCCCGGTGGCAAAACTTGTCTGAAAGATGAATCATGTTTTCAGAGTTTCTGTCTTCCCTGCTGTTGACAGACAGCAGCCCTTGTCATGCATTAGCAGGGCAAGGAATTCTTAAGGCCTTCTGTTGAGACCTTACTGAGTGAAATGCTTATTATTGAAGTCCCTGGCAAGAGAGCTCAATGGCTAAGCACCAGGCCACAGTCTACTGTACTCCCACTCTTTGAATCCATGGTGAAAATAATACTCTTTGAAATGTGTTAGGAAGAGAAAGAAAACTGATGTTGGCTACCATGCTAATTACAGAGCTTACCAGTAAGATCTTTTAGCTTAGTCATGCAAGCTGTGCCTACACTCATTTATTCACTTAGCAAACATTATGAGGTCAATTTTACCAATTGTTAATGTCTTATGTATCCTGGATTTATTGTGGACTCTTTATAGACAAACTTCTTGACTAATAGATCTATGATCATTTTTCTCTGACATCTAATCCATTTCCAACCCCTACTAATCTGGCTTTTGTCATCACAATTAAAAACAAGCTTTGTGGTGTTTCTTTTCTTACCTCAACATCTCACTGCTCTTTGGTAAATGGAACACTGATTTTGAGCTGGAAACACGGGCATTTTGAATAAAAGGACTACATTCTCCATCCTTCATTGTGGTTAGGTATAACCGTTTTATATCTAATTGCTGGCCGATGAGAGATAATTAGTAGAAGCAGTGGCTTTGTTTTGTTTATTTTTTGTTGTTGTTTTTTGGTGGGAGCAGCTATATAAAGTCAGAGGATACTGCTGGAAGTGCCACTGTGCCTTTCTACACTTACCTCTTCTTTTGGTTTTTAGCAAACATGATCGCTGGAGATGCAGCAACTATCTTGGACAACAAGGTGACAAGAAGCTTAATTTGACAACAATACAAAAAGATAGTATCCTGTGTCCCTGATGACACCAAGAGGGTGCATGTAAGTCTTGGAAGCCTACTTCTAAATATTTGTATGTGAGAGAGAAATAAACTCCTATGCTAAGGCTACTTTTTTGTAAGGTTTTCTAGCAGTAAGAGATTACAACCTTACTGGTCTGAGGTATCAAAGAATACAGTTCAAGGCAGGTAAAGCAACCTAATATTTAGGAGAGAATTCCTGGAATTAGGAGAATTGAAGAAAGGCTGAGACTACACTTAAGTATAAACCCTTCCTGAACACCTTACTGACAATTAAACTATACACGCCTATGGGAGACACCAGAGGCCAGGCATAAGCACAGGTAAAAACAAAAGAAGTTTCTATTCTTAGAAGCTAGAACTACATTGGGTGAGATTTGTTACATTTTTGACTGAGAGCATGCTGAAGTGGCAGAATGCTAAAATCTTCCTATTCTGAAGTTAAAAAAAAAAAAAGAGAGAGAGAGAGAGATCTTGGAGCTGGCAGAGCAAGCTGGAAATTTACGTGGAAAACCTTAAAAGCAGGGAATCACAGAGAGGGTGAGTCCCAAAATCTATATGTAAACTCTGTCCAAATCCCTGGCTGACAGCAAAACTACACAGGTAAAGGGGAGACCCAAAGGAAATAAAGGTAAAAATACAACTGCTGGAAACACAAAGAATTGAGGAGAAATAACAGCTGTTGCTCACTGCAGGGGACAGAGTTTGCAGTTCAAGAACATGCCAAGTACTATCTGTGAGGTTTTTTTTTTAATCCTCAGAAGAACATAAGAGCATCCAAATCACTAAGATATATAGACTTCAATATTTATCTTTCAACCAAAAATGAGTAGTCATGCAAAAAAATTTAAAAAAAGATGAGTATGAACCATATACAGAAGAAAGGAAGTCAATAGAATTTGACTGAGTGTGCCTGATGTCAGATTTAGTAGAAAAAGAATTTTAAGAAGCTATTATTAAGGTTTCAACAATTAATAAAACCTATATTTAAATAAATAAGGAAAATGTCTCGATAGTTGAAAAGTTAGAGTATATCATGAGTGAAAAAAGAAAAAAACAACAAAATGAAAATTATTGAACTAAAAATTAATATAACTAAGATGAAAAATAAATCACCACTACAAACTAAAGTGCTTCTTCACAGGAAAATAAACAATTAAAAAAATAAAAAGGCAGTCTGTTGTTTAGAAGAAAATATTTGCAAGCCATATATCTGATAAGGGGTTAATATCCAAAATATATAAGAAACTCACATAATTTAATAGCAAAAAAAAAAACCTGATTAAAAATGGGCAAAGAATGTGAATAGACATCTTTCCAAAAAAGGCATAAAAATGGCCAACTGATATATGAAAATGTGTTCAATATTACTAGTAATCATCAGGGAAATGCAAATCAAAAGCACAATAGAACATCACCTCAGATATGTTAGGATGGCTATTATCAGATCGACAATAAATAACAAGAGTTGGTGAGGGTGTGGAGAAAAGGGAACTCTTGTATGCTATATATGGGAACGTAAATTGGTAAAACTATTATGGAAAATGGTATAGCAGTTCCTCAGAAAGCTAATAATAGGACTAACCCATGACCCAGCAATCCATCTGCTGGGTATATACTCAAAGGAAATGAAATCCGAACTTCATAGAGATATATAAATCTGTGTTCCCATGTTTATTGTACCATTATTCACAATAGACAAGATATGGGATTAACCTAAGTGTCCATCAATGAATGAATGGATAAATTGTGATATATCTGTGGGTGTGTATGTGTGTATGCATACGTACATATGTATCTCAATGTATATATAATGCATATGTGTGTAGATCACAATTTCTTTATTCATCTGTCAATGACTACTTAATATATAATGGCATATTATTCAGCCTTAAGAAAGGAGATACTGCTTTTTATGATAACATGGATGAACCTAGAGAACATTATGCTAAGTGAAATAAGCCAAGAACAGAAAGGCAAATACCACATTATCACACTTACATGTGGAATCTAAAACAAGTCAAATATATAGAAACAGGCAGTGGAACAGTGATTACCAAGATCAAAGACAGGGAGAAATGGAGAGAAGTAAGTCAAAGAGTACAAACTTGAAATTATATAGAAAGAATAAGTCTACAGATCTAATGTACTATAGTTAATAATATTGGATTGTATACTGAAAGTTTGCTAAGAGAGTAGATTTTAAGTGTTCTTATCATATGCGCACACACACACAAAAATAACTATGGAAGGTGATAGGTTAATTTGCTTCACTGTGGTAATGATTTACCTATGTATATGTATATTAAAACATCATGTTGTACACCATACATAAAGAAAAAAATTACCAGGTTTGCTGAACAACAGATTGAAAATGACAGAAGATAGAATTGTTCGATTTGGAGTTAGAGTAATTGAAATTATACAAACTGAAGAACAAAGAGTATAAAACCAAAGAAAATGAATAAGGCTCCAGAGATCTGTGGAAAAATGACAAGGAGTCCAACATACATGTGATTGGAGAACACAATGTGGAGAAAAGACAGAAGAAAATACATATTTGAGTAAATAGCAACTAAATTTCCCAAATTTGGTGAAAACCATAAGCTTACAGATTCATAAATCTCAATGACCCTCAAATAACATAAATGCAAATAAAACTACATTTAAACACATGATGGTCAAACTGGTAAAAAGCAAACATAATTTAAAAATATGAAAAGCAGTGAAAGAAACAATGGAACAATCAATAGTTTAGTTCTCATTGGAAATAGCGGAAGTGAAATAATATTGGAATAAAATAGTCAAAATGCCAGTTTAAAGAAACCCTCTCAGGAATCCTATATCCTGTGAAAATATCATTAACATTATAGACAAAATAGAGAAAATTTCAGAAAAAAGGTTTTTCTGCAATTATTTATCACCAGAACAAGGAACATTTTCTAATTTATTTTAAGAGGCTAGCATTACACTAATACCATAAACAAGAATTAATTTATTATTACAAGAAAACTAAAAATCAATATTACTTATGAAAATATAAGCATAAATTCTTTTAAAAATAATCAAATTGAATTTATCAATATATGAGACAGGTACTATATCATAAGTAAATGGACATTATCCAAACAATGTAAGGTTAGTTTGATATTAAAATTTTAAGCTATATAAGTCACAATTTGATCATCTTAGTAAATGCAGAAGAAGCAAACAGCAAAATTAAACTCTCACTCAGGATTTATAAAAATCTCAGAAAGCTAAGAAAACTTTTGGGTTGATTAAAAACATTCTGTCTCTTAATTGTGGTAGTAGTTTTTGGAATGTATCCATTTGCTGAAACCCATTGAGCTGTACACTTCAAATGGGTGCATTTTATATTATGTCAGTTATATTCCAATATAGCTTGCTAAAGAGGAACCTCACAGGGAATATTGTACTTAATTTTGCAATGTTAGAACTCTTCCTCTTAAATTTGGTCAAATGAAAAATAACCAGCACCATCACTACTTGCTGTAATACTGGAGAAACTTTCAATGGTGGCTAAGAAAAAACAAGTGAAATTTAGGGCTCCAAAAGAGAAAACAAAATAACATTATTTCACAGGCTTGACAATTTACTTAGAAGAGCGTAAAATAATCTACAAACTGTTGCAATGCATAAAAGAATTTAGCACCATTACAGCCTCAAGATCAAAAGTCAAAGGTCAATAGCATTCCTATGTCAAAATAAAAAAAAACTAATTAATACATAGTCATAGTCTATAATAAAGCCATATGTTTGAACTATTAACAAAATTATTATCAATTTCCTGAAAATAACTCTTAAAATGATATGGACTTTTATGTACAAAACAAAGAAACTTTATCAAAGTACTTAGCTGGGGCCTGGTTTTAAGGCAAAAGTGGCTTTTGCAAATCAGTAAGAAAATGTGATTTTAAGAAGTAATTTTATATTCCTATGTCATACCACCAAAGAAAAATAAGCTTCAATTTTATTTAAGATTCAAATGTTAAAATGCAAAACTTTAAAACTACAATAAAAAAATCCTGGGAGAAAAATATCACTGCTCTTTGAACTTTCCAAGGACACTCATACCACAGGACCTTCACACGTGCTGCTCCTTTTGTCTGAAATGCTTTTTCAAGATGCCCCCGTGCCTTGTTCCCTTTCCTCTGTCAGGTCTCTGCTCATTTGTCATTTCTCAGTGGGACTTTCCTGAATCAGTCCATGTGAAATAATACCCCCCAGCTCCAGCACTTTTTCTGCCCCTATGTATCTCTCTGTTTATCATCACCTGAAATATTTACATTTTTTTTAAGGAAGGAGCTTTGTTTTGTTCACTGTTGCATCCTGAGAATCTGAAATGAATGTATTTTGAAAATATAAAGGGAAAAATAGCAAATGCCAATACTTGTTATATTCAAGTTATGAATTTTAGTAGTTCCCAACTAGTTTCATAGCATATATGCTGTTTCTTGTTTTCTGTTTTCAATATGTTTATGATTGTAATTAAAATGAAGAATAATATAAAAGATTGCAAGGATGTTACATGCCAGAAAATAGGTTAATATTATTCAGTGCATTAAGAGATGATAGCTAAGAAATCATTTGGATGTTTTGATGTCTGGCAAAAAAGTCACTTGATAAAATATAGCACCTACTTCTGAAAAATTAAAAGCAAAAATAAATTCCTTAAAATATAAATATGTAAAGATTTGAAACTTGATAAAACAGAAAGTCAATGACACTCATCATATAATTTTAAATTTGTCATCCATTGCTATTAAAGTAAGCAAATTGCTATGCAAACGAATTTTGAAATTCTAAACAATGCAATAAAATATGAAAAACAAATAAAAGTCTAAATATTTGTAGTGAAGCCATGACTCTAATTTTTTGGAGAAATAAGTAAATTTTTTCAGATAAATCCATGGAAATCAACTTTAGAGCTTTTAAAACTAAAATGTTAGGAAGCCATTTCACTGGTGACTGCATTGAAATCAATGATTTTCTGATGTCCAAGCAGTAACGAATGAGAAGTTCCAGATAGAAACAAACCATCTACAAGGAGCCAACAAAACAAAGGTATGCACACACACAGAGCAAATAAGCTACAAAACATTTGAAGATAATAGTAAGCACAAATGCTCAAGATTGAAGAAGAGCATTCAAGTTTAGTTATTCATGATTATATTCCCCAGGTCTGCCATATATTAGGTGCTTAATGAATATTTAAGGAATGAATACATGTAGAAGAAACACCTAAATATGTGTAGAGATTTAATCAGTTCTTCACTGGAAGACCCAACGTTAAATGAAGTATATTATTTCCAAAATTATGTACAAATTCAATGCAATGACGTTTCATTTGAAGTTGTGAGCCACATATAAATTAATACATGGCAAAGGGATATTTAAAACTTGTTGAAAATGTATTTATAATTTGGCTGACCATTTGTAAAAATAAGTCTTTTAGTTAGATAGCATTAAATAAAAATAATGCTATCTAGGGTCTCTGCTTTATGCATTCATAATTATTAGTCATTTTTATGAATTGGATAGACTTTTATATAAAAATAAATGCTAATAATTGGAAAATATTTAGATTTCTGGTGTCATTTTCATTTTATTATTTTAATAGAAAAGCCTATAGTGATTCAGCCTTAAGTATGACATTGGCCATTGGTATAAGAAAAACTATACTTTAGATTGCTTATTATCTATTTCAATTTTACTTATAATACATTTTGTCATTGTTTATTCCTAAAGAATTTTCTGTTTTCATCATATCTCTTTTGAAATACTCTAATAGGATATTTTTTCTTCTATTTTCAGAAACCAAAGTATCACTGTTTTCTGTTTACTGTCAGCATTTATAATAAATCAGAATTTTATCAATCCAGTAAATTAATGAGGAAGCCAGTCTTGTATTGTTTAAATAACTTATATAGTTTAGAAATTATCTATACCTTCCAAGATCAACGTTCTATATAAAAATAAAAAACCACCAGTGATTATTCCTAAATCAAGTACAATTGAATTAAAGGCAATAAAAAACATTAAAGAGAGAAAATCCTGTCCATTTTGTACAAATAACAAATACAATGCATAGTGCTGATATAATCATTATGAAATTTTATGTGCCAAATAAGTAATATTAAACTATATAAAGCAAAACGTGTAAGCAATAATATGAGATGCTGGGAAATAAAGTTATACTAACAACCTTAACCACGATATTCTTTACTTAAGAAATATCAAGTAGATAAAAATAACTTTCACATCTAAGAATATGCTAACAACACAACTTATAGCAAGGAGAAATTTAAAAGCCATAATAATAGGAGAATCATTAAGTCATTATGATTGGTCAATAATACAGAATGCTATGCAGTCTTTAAAACGCACATTCCAAGTGATGTTTAGAGATATGGAAATATCACTGGAATGTCATTTTTAATTATAGTCTCTGGGAAATTTTAAAGGGACAGGAAACTATGAACAAAGTGAACAGTATAATGATAAATATAACTATTTCTCACTTTTATCTCATTTTACATGTAGTCTGTCTCTCTCTCTCACACACAAACACACACACACACAAATACACTTCCTATACTAGTTCCATTTTCTTCTCCTTCTTCCATTCTGACAAGTAATCATTATCAAAAATTTAGTGTGTATTTTTTTAATCCATTTTATATATTCACTTAATGTAACTATAAATAATATGTAGTGTTTCTTTGGTTTCTATTTACATCAATGGTAATGTATTATAGTAATATCAGCTATTAATTTTCAATTTTATAAGATCACATTTCTGAGATCCATTCACATTGGAATGTAGTAGCTATAGATTTAAATATAGATGATATAGTATTTAATATTTTGTGCTTTTGCCTTACACTGCACTTTCATTTCCTGTTTTCCACCTCAAGCTAAAATTTTAGCATTTTACTTTTATTCTTTCTATTAAAGTCTTCTTTGCACATACCAACTTGTGCACATGTTCTAGAATTTTCTAGAATATAGACTTGGAAAAAAACTACTAGGCTTTAAAGGATTTTATTTTATTTTATTTTTTATTTTTTTGAGATAGAGTTTCACTCTTGTCACCCAGGCTGGAGTATGGTGGTGTGATCACAGTTCAGGACAACCTCTGCCTCCTGGGTTCAAGCAATTCTCCTGCTTCAGCCTCCTGAGTAGGTGGGATGCCGAGTACCTGAGATTACAGGCACGCACCACCACACCTGGCTAAGTTTTGTATTTTTAGTAGAGACAGAGTTTTACCATGTTGGCCAGGCTGGTCTCAAACTCCTGACCTCAAGTGATCTGCCTGCCTTGTCCTCCCAAAGTGCTGGGATTACAGGCATGAGCCACTGCGTGCCTGGTCTCTAAAGGATATCTATTTTCAGTTTTATATATACTGCCAAACTGTTGTTTTTTTTTTAATGATTGTACCAACTCACACAGCACAGCCTGAGAGGTCCCTTTCCTCACTTCTAAGTCTAGATGTGTTACTCTCCAATTTTTTTTTTTTTGCATTTGGATGGCAGTAAAATGTATCTCAATGTTGTGCTAATTTTCATTTTGCTCATTTCTAGTAAATTTGTACATTTTCTTATATAATTTTGGCCTCAATGCTCTCAAGTCTACACCCCACCCCCCATGAATCACAGGGTAATCAACTCTTTCCATTTTCTTATGCATTTGACCATTTTTGTACAGTTCTTGGCATAACCTGGATAATAATTTGTCTTTTATGTACTATGCAAATATTTTCTCCCACACAAAATGGGACTTTTAAAAACTTTGTCTAAGGTTTCATTTTTTAGTGTGAAAATTTTTCATTTTGATGTCATCAAATATTTCAGTCTTTTCCTTTGAAGCTTATTCTTTCTCTTGTGTGTTTGAGTTATTTCCCTATCTTGATATCATAAAAGCCTTTCCATCTGATAGATTTGATTTTTTAATATTAATATTTAATTGTGAAAATAGGAAATAATGTATTTCTGAGTGACTATAGGAGTTATTTTAGATATATGGAGAACAATTAAGACAATCTAATATACTAAATATTTCAATATCTCCTCACTTTTATAATGCTACCTTATTTATATAAAATGTTGGATATGATCATTTTATTCACTATAATTTTATAATGTCTTCACAGCTGTTCAAGTCAGTTTTCCCTCAATTATCTTCTTCTACTATCTTATAAAATTCAAAATTGTCTTGACTTTTTGAATATTATTCCACATGCATTTTAGAATTAACACGTCAAGTTTTATAAACAAACTTTTACTTTTTGGCATTGCATTGAACTCACTGATAATTTAGGAGACAGTTTGTATTTGCTATGGCTCCTTTTCTAAATCACTCCACAGTAATCTTACAAAGAGCATTTTCAAAGATGTGTTTCTTCCCACATGTTTAATTAATTTACTGTGATTAAGAATGAGACTTTCGGCCGGGCGCGGTGGCTCACGCCTGTAATCCCAGCACTTTGGGAGGCCGAGGCGGGCGGATCACGAGGTCAGGAGATCGAGACCATCCTGGCTAACAAGGTGAAACCCCGTCTCTACTAAAAAATAAAATAAAAAAAAAAATTAGCTGGGCGTGGTGGCGGGCGCCTGTAGTCCCAGCTACTTGGGAGGCTGAGGCAGGAGAATGGCATGGACCCAGGAGGTGGAGCTTGCAGTGAGCCGAGATTGTGCCACTGCACTCCAGCCTGGGTGACAGAGCGAGACTCCGTCTCAAAAAAAAAAAAAAAAAAAAAAGAATGAGACTTTCAAAATGCATTTTCTCATTGGTTATTGTTGATATTAATATGTATGAATTCTCTTAATTTTTGAGTTATACATAATATCTTAAATTCAGACACTTTTCTGGACTATCACAATAGTAGTTTTAAGAATAATACTTTTAAGAAATGTATATAGTTGTCTTAATAGATTTAAGAAATGTATATAGTTGTCCCTTCATGTCCATGGGGGATTGGTTCCAGGACCCACAGTGGATACCATAATCCGCAGGTGCCAAGTCCCTTAAATAAAATGGTGGAGTATTGGCATATAACCTACACATGGCTGCTCATAGACTTTAAGTAATCTCTAGATGATGTATATACCTATTAAACTGTAAATGCTATGTAAACAGTTCTTATTCTGTATTGTTCTTATTTGTATTTTTATTGTTGTTTTTATTTTTTCAGAATATTTTCCTGCAGATGTGGAACTTACATATATGGAGACCCAATGGAAACCTCCTGGGTTTTCTATGCAGACAATTATGTCTGCAAATAATGAGTTTTCTAAACAAATTCCTTTCTGATTTTTTTTTTGCTTGTCTTATTACATTGCCTAGGAATAACATTATTATAATGAGTAGAACTAGTGATAACAGTCTTTTGTCTTTTTTGTGCATTTAATGCAAATGCTCATCTTTACTATTAAGTGTGCTAACAGCTGAAGTTATCAGGTTAATATACTTCACCAGGTTAAGAAGGTTTGTTTCTATTTCTGTTTTGTTAAACTACAAAAAAAATCATAAATGAAAATTAACTTTTCCTCTTGATTTATCACATTTATTTAAATAAACACAGTTATGATTTCTCTTTTAATCTACTAAAATGTTGGAGTCTTCTCTAATGTTGACCCATCATTACATATCTAAGATGTCTGAGAAATACACATTTGAGGTAAATTCTACTTGTTTATGGTTTTGTAACCATACCAGACAAACCTGTTTCAACTTTTATGTAAGAAAGTTGTGAGTTTTTCAGTTGCTATGGACCCCCACACATTGACAGTCACATAACCTGAGCATGCCCAGTTGAACCAACTATGCAACCACAGTTGGAACTTAAGTGCTCAGACCAAGAAACAGGGACTTAATTAAGACATGGATACCACATGGAACAATCCAGGATCCAATCAGATCAAGACTTGGTGTCACCTTATAGCAGGATCCTGTCAGATCAAGAGATCCATGCCTAGTGGAATCATCTGATTTAAAAATCCAATCAAATCACACCTCATTACTCTATAGCTATAAGACCTGCCCCAGCTCTCCAGCTCAAGGAAATGGATTTGAGCCTTTCCTCCTATCTTCTTGCCAGTCAGCTTGCAGAGAACCTTTTCTTTTCTCCAAAGCCAGTGCCATGACATTGGCTTGTATGGGTATCAGGCAGTGAGCCCACTGATTGTTTGGTAAAAAATTTTAAGTGACATTTAAAATTTTAAATAAAATGTGAATTTTGACTTGCTGACACTTATCTTGGGAGTTCTCCATGAACGTTCATAATTCTGATTGACCTATAATTTTGTCTTATTGAACTGCCCTTGCCTTAGTCTGGTATTGATATTTTAATATTCTCTCAAAGACCTGAGAAGCTTTTCCTATTTCTTTACTTTCTGAAGCAGTTTATAAAATAAGTGGATTATATTTTTCATCACGTGTAGAAAATAAAAAATTCTTGGCCCTAGTATCTTAACATTTTTCTAATAAAAATTAATTTTTATTATAAAAATTAAAATTTGTTATTAAAAATTTAATTTTTTAATTGTAAAAATTTTTTATTATAAAATTTAAAAAATTATTACAAAAATTAACAATTTTTTATTATACTTTAAGTTCTGGGGTACATGTGCAGAACGTGCAGGTTTTTTACATAGATATACACATGCCATGGTAGTCTGCTGCACCCATCAACCTGTGATCTGTATACATTAGGTATTTCTCCTAATGCTATCCCTCCCCTAGCCCACCACCCCCTGACAGGCCTGGTGAATGATGTTCCCCTCCCTGTGTCAATGTGTTCTCTTTGTTCAGCTCCCACTTATGAGTAAGAACATGCGGTGTTTGATTTTTTGTTCTTGTGTTAGTTTGCTGAGAATGATGGAAAAATTATGATAAAAAATTTAAAATTTTCATTATAAAATTTAAAAATTTTATAATAAAAATTTAAAATATTTATTATTAATTTAATGTTTATCTTTTTATAATGACCTTTTTCTTGTTGATTCTATTTTGGAATTTTTTTCTTACATTTCCCATTTTGTCTAACTCTTCTCATTTACTGCCATGAAGCTATTCTGATATCTGAAACCTCTCTTGACCTATTATTATTTATTCCTCTCCATTTCTTTTCATAATTAATTTATAATTTCCTCCAGTTTTTTTTCTTGATCTGTTTGGTTTATTTGTATTAGTCTTTTCTGCAGACTGTTTATGGTTTCACTGACCATGTCTAATACTATGTATATTTTAAAAATTTATTTATGCTTTTCTATTATTTCCCTCCTTCAGCTTTATTTACTTTTAAAATGTTTTCCTAGTATTTCTTAACTGAATGCTTATCTCATTAATTTTGAATTTTTTTGTTTCTAAAAGAATTACATTAAAGAGCTGCAATTCTCTTTAAATGTTAGTTTAGCTGTATCCCTCAATTATATATATAATAACTTCACTTTCATTAAATTCTAAATATTTTCTTTATTATATCATTTCCTTTTCTTTTCTTGTAATTTATGATGTTTGTCAGGCCCTGCAAAGTTAATGATGTTTTAACCTTTCAATTCTTTCATGGCTCTTCATCAATTGATTCATGTCTGCTCCCTTAGCCTATGTGTTCCCCAATGGCAGGAATTATCTTCATTTAATCCCCTGCCTAAGGCCCTGGTATAGTACTGGGCATACCACATAGGCATAGATAAATAGTTGTCAATTTCTTACACCCATTCATACATTGATTCATTCATAAATGCAGTCATTCATTTAATAGATATTTCTTGAGTTTCTGAGAAGGTTATAAAGGTAAATGTTCTAGGCACTTAGATTGGTTATACTCTGAATATTGCTGGCATCTAGTAATCTGCGACATGATCTCATTTGTTTAAAGGTGTAATTCAAATATCAGCCACTATACAGATAACATTATTTTCCCATAATTATTTCCCCCAGATCTTTCATTTTGTTATTTTGGCTTTTCGTGGTAGAATCAGAGTCCATCTTATAAATTAATAATGCAGCATGCCATGTTGAGGTGATTAAAGAAGAAACTGTAGACCCTTTTAACTTTTCCTTTTGCTTGGATAGACATTTAAGTCTGTTTGATTTTAGTTGGGGTTTATTTTTTGCTCTGCTGCCATTGGAATCATTTAGGATGCTTTTTAAATCACTATTATTTGAACACGAGCCCAGATTTAAAAAGGCAAAAATACAAGATAAGTCAGATGTGGGCCTGGGCAATGATATTTTGTCAAAGGCTCTCAAATGATTCTACAGTGTACTTACGGCTGTAGCAATTGAAAGGTATTTATTGTTTAAGCTATAGCTTACAGCCTCCTTATACTTACGACATTTCATTTACTATTTCTCTTATGGTTTCTGGGGAATTCAAACATGGTTGAGATTGCAAGTTTTATACACAGGATGTGCAGGCATTGGTAAAAAGATTTTCATGTTGCTTTAAAGTAAGCATGCCTTTTATAAAAATGTACTGTCTATTCATACCTGAGATGAAGTACCGGCCAATCTGAGGCTCTCCCTGTATCTGAGAATAAAGAAACAGTGTATTAGAACCCTGCAGGTTCCATTCCAGATAGACAGGTGAGGTCATCATGGTGGATGTCTCATGAAGGCTTCCAGAAACCTCAGAAACCTAAATTAGTTCTTCAAGCATTTGGAATGCTGCTGCTCTCGTAAGCATTTGGAATCCTGCTGCTGTGGTCAAGTAGTGAGGCTGACTCCAAGAAGAGTACTTTTTCATATTTTCATTATTTTCACCACTGGAGTGAACACCAAACTTCTGAGTCTTGGGTAATTATGAATATACTAACTTGGGACCAAAGGGTGAGGCCATACTGTCCTTGCCATTTGGCCATTAGAACTTAATAAATGAGCCCCTATTATTAAATAAATAAAATACAATGGGCTTGTACCTCCTTGCCATACTAGTTCAATTTTAACTACTTTATTAATTGAAATATCAGCAGCAGTAGGGTGCTAACTGCCCAGATTTTACCAAAGAGTCACTAACCATTGTGGAAGTAACTTGTGCAGTCTGCAAGTCAGGCCCATCTTATAAGTCACTGCATGGATAGTTTTCCTGCAGTCACCAGCAAACCTGTGATATTAAGGGTCCTCTTCCCTCAGTAGTCATTTTCTGTTGGATATCCATTCCAATCAACTGCTGTATCCTTAGGTAACCTTAATTTTTCTTGACAATAGGCATTTCTAAAATCCTAACTAACTGTCACAAAGAAGGTACATGTTATGGAGCTAACACATTTTTGAAGAATCAAATGAGTGCTAAGGAAGGCAGGGCTACCATTGTTTGGAGGAATCATCTGATAAGTATTTGATTTCTTCCAAATGATAAGTCCTGTCTCCTTTCTGATTCACTTTTTTTTGAAAAACGTATAAAATGATATATTTTGGGCTCAAATAAGGTCAGTTAGAAATAGCTGGACTCATACCCAAATAGTTTGTTCTAGTTGTGACTAAAACCCTCAGTTGAACTTTTCTCCTTAAGAGAAAAATAACAACTCTCTATATAGACATGGTGATTTGAGGAAATTCTCTGATGTAGCTAATGTAAACAATTATGTATCATTGAGTCTAGGAAACTGGATTCTCCAAATTATTTCTCTTGTAAAAATGTATTTGTTAAGTAAACTGTAGTCCACACCACTTCCTCAGCCTTCTCCAAAGAAACACACTGCTTGAACAATCAAAGGATTACAAATTTGAAAGAGAAATTAAAGTTCATCTCACTGAACTCACTACCAACAGAAGTCACCATTTATTCTGAAAAAATCAAGATTATTTCCCAGGGACTGTTTTGCAACTAGCATTGTATTTAGGGAGCTTGAAGAAATATATGCATTTATTCACATTTTAACTATATTTCTTGGCATTCTTTCTGCATCCAGAATTTTTATTTTCTTCTTTTTTTCCAAATAGCAAACAAGCTTTGATCTTATATCAGTAAATTTATTCCCAAGGTGTCTTAGTCGATTTTGTGCTGCTATAACAGAATACCACAGACTGATTAATTGATAGTGAACAGAAATGTATTGGCTCACAGTTCTGGAAACTGAGAACTCCAATATTGAGGTGCTGACATCTGGCAAGGGCCTTTTTGTTGCGTCATTACGTTGCAGGGGGATCACGTGGTGGAAAGGCAAATAGAGGGTTAGAGAGAGACAGAAAAGGGAACCAAACCCACCCTTTTGTAAAGAACCCACTGCTTTGATAACAGCCTTAATTCATTTGTGAAGGTTGAGTCCTCATGGCCTGATCACCTGTTAAAGGTCCCGCCTCTTAACACTGTTACAATGGCAATTAAATTTCAACATGAGTTTTGGAAGGCACAAACACTCAAACCATAGCACAAGAGTAAGCAGAAAATATGCCAGAAAGCATGGGAAAATATTACTAAAGACTCATGTCATTAGTATACAAATGAAAAGTTTTCACTTCTGTAGTTATTGTAATCCAAGATTCTCAAACTTCGTAGATTGGGAGGATTTGATTTTATACATTGTCAGTTCAATGTTGATTTGGCTAGAAAGATTTGATGTTACTTGTTTAACTATTTGAAACTGAGTGCTATCTGTGGTCCTTGGGTGCAGTGGAGGGGGAAACGATCTGATGAACTCATGGAGGAACATAGGTTCTGAGAATGAGATGCCTGATTGATACCTGGCTGAGGACTTGCATGCTTGTTCTAAAATGTCTGTTCAGTTGACCTCTTCAAGCTTAATTCACACTACATTGAAGACAAATCAGCTCTTCCTCGTGTGAGGTAGACATCCATAGAAAATACCTGAGTTATCTTATCCCAGGGATAAGATAATCTATCTGCATGCCCAATTCAAGTTTGAAAACTCCTATCTTAGATTATTTTGAGAGCTTACATCTTAAACTTTAGATTTTAACAAGAGAGAACACATTAAATTTGACAAAAAATATTCATTCCCAGAAGATATTGCAAAAGATTTCTGATCCTTATATTCACTAGTTATTGAAATTCATATTTGGTTTGTCCTTTGGGCATAGAGTTGTTTGAACTAAGAATAATTTATTAATTTAGAAGACACCAATTATTAGTTTTTAGAACAGACCTACTCTACAATTTTCTAACTTTGATGATTGATACATCTCCCCAGAACCTGCCTTAATAATGACTACTCAAACCAAAGATCTGGCATTGTTAAAGGAAGAAGTAAACCATTTTTTAAAATAATCAGAATGTGTTTAAAGAAACTATACTCTTAAAAATATTCATTTTTAATGAGGGCCATGGAAGTTCATCAGCTTCAGAGTCACATGCAATCCGACCCTGGGTGGTTACACTTGTCCCAAAATCTGAACCTCCTCTGTGAAGCATTCGAGACAGAACCTTGTTATTTCTCAGACTTTGGAAAATGCATTGTATTGATGTTATGTAAAAAGCCAAACCTCTGTTCAGTGTAAATAGTTACTCCAGGGCCAACAATCCTAGTGCTTTCCTTTTTTAAAAATGCAAATCCTATGTGATTTTAACTCTGTCTTCACCTGATTCAACTAAAAAAAAGTATTATTTTCCAAAAGTGGCCTCTTTGTCTAAAACAATAAATTTTTTTCATGTTTTAAGAATAAAATATTTATTTTTGAATGTGGTAGATGAAAAACTACATGCAAGATATTTATCTCAAAATTATCAAAAGTCATTGAGTATTTGTGTGCATGTGGTAAGTGTATATATGTGTACATGCTCAGTAACTATGGAAACAAACAAAATAAGTCCTAAAATTGGGGAAATCTTTGTTTACCCAGTGGAGAAAGAGGAGGAACTGACCCTAAATAAGGAAGTCAAAAATGTAACAATACAGATATTTTGAAGGGCACCAAAAATTGAGCCAGAAATCTAAGTAACTGAGATGATTGTAAATAATACACAATAATAAATATAAAGCATATAATTATAAAACCATATACAACTATGTTCCTAATTTTGTCGGCTTTTAAGAAAGCTTGTTTTCTTTAGTGTTTTCTTCTCTAGGAAGCTTAGGAATAACTACATTTACAGCTCACCTATTGCAATTGCCAATACTTTATGATATATAGTTCTGAGTAGGACTCAGATTCTATCCTTCAAATTGCTAACCAATGGCTTCCATTGACTTAATTATTGTTTTTTATTGCATCTTTAAAAATAACTGACACACATTCATTAAGAAAAAATAATGATTATATGTAAATAAATAATACATTATCTGCCTTTGTATACATCTATCTAAATATAATATCTAGGACCTTTAATTGCTAATAAATAAGCATGTTGCCTTCTTTGCACACATAATATGTATGCTGATAATCTTACAATAGTACGATATTTCTATTCTGAAGAAGGCTTTACCATATTCAACTATTTAATCTCAGGAAGGTAGTTTACCTCTAATATATCAATAGCCTCTAACTGCTCTTTGATGCCCACAACAAGTTGAGACAGGCAGAGCCTCAAGGTGGTTTCCCTAGAATAAACATTGAGTGAAGGATGTGAAGGTGAGTAGCTTATTTGGGAGATGATCTCAGAAAGCACAGCAAGGAAATGAGAAAAGAAAGGAAATAAGACAGTACGGGATGCACAATTGAGTCCATTACTGCTCATTATCCTAGTTGAGTAACTAGGGCTCAACCTCATGAGGGATATCTGTTGATGGTTACAGTACAGAGATGTTATCAAAAGGGTGAGGTAGCTGAGCTATTTTTCTACCAACTTCAATCTGTCATTGATTGAAGACTGTTACAAGGGTCATTGATTCCTTGACACTTGCAGCCTGTCTTATATGGGGGGTTAAGCCCACTCCCAAGCTCTCTAAAACATCTGTTGCAGGTGTTTTCAGGAAGAAGCCTTTAGTAGAAAAAGCAAATACCTAGGAGATATGAGGAAGGCACCAGCAATGACTGTTATAGAGAACAAGAGAGAGAACTGGTGACAAAGGCATCTTCAACCTTCCTGAATTCATCCTTTGCATAGTTTGATAACATATTATTCAGTTTGCTTTGTAGAACAGACAGGAGGTGAATAGTGGTTCAAATAGTTAGGACAATGGTATCCTTTTTTGGCTCTTTTAATTATAAATTATATTCTTAGGCTATCTGACATATTCAGACATCAGTGCAAGAAAATATTTCAAAGTCAAATGTAAACACCTCTTAGATCTGCCACTGGGGTATATTCCTGCTCCCTCTTTTTCATAGCGTGGTTTCTGGAGAGCCAGATATTATCAAGTCGTGACAGCTATGAGGGCAAAGGAGAAATCAGGAATGAGTTTTTTACACACTCTTTCTGCAGTTATTTCTTTCCGTACTTTCTATAAGGCACCGTGAACCAAATTCCATCTGGTTCCCATGCATTGTAACACTTTAGATATCTGCCTCAGACTTCTCTGGAGATAAACTTCTGGCTAACTTGTTTTAAGGCCTTCTGTCCTGATCCTTTTATATCTCCAACAGTCAGCTTCTGTCAAACTTGTGGGAAATAAAGGATTTTACAGATGCTGATAAAAGATCAGAGGCACAAACCTAGTTTAAAATTCCAAAATCGATATTTAAAAAAGGGATGAAAACCCCCAGGAAACCCCTAGGTTGTCTAAGAAGTCCTCAGTTCAAAGATGGTAATTCAGGGATGAATCTAAGGATCTGAGTGTCAATAGGATCTAGGTTTGATAGGAAAAGAACGATCTTTTTCAGGATGCCATGGGGACTGTTTGACTTTATGACCACTGTACAAGGTGAAACTATAAGCGAGGCAGTGGGGCCAATGGGAAATTGTGCAGAGGAAAATCATCCATTCTACTTTTCTCTAATGCTCAGTTCTTAATTTTTCTGGAGGAAAAAACAAACAGAGATTAGAGATCTCATCGGTTTATCCAAAGATTCCATTTTAACACACAGCCAAATTAATAAGGTTTAAAATGACCAACTGAATAAGGAGACAGCTGTATATCTTCAAGATATTGTATATGATCTTCAAGGTTAAGAGTAAGGGTTGAGGTGCCATTTTTGTGGAATCTTCTAGAACCTAGATTGCAAGGGTTACTTTTCTAAGCAAATGTCTTCACCTGTAGATTTGGCCTGATTTTGTCTTAAGCCAGGTGAGACAGTCTGACTGTTACAGGATACTGGTGTCAGACACACGTTTTCCTTAAATCTGTTAAGGCCACTTGAATCTGAGACTTCGTTTTCCAACCAAATTATCCTGTTCCTCTGTGGATCTGAAATCCTGGTCTGAACAGTAGCTCTTCTGCCTTTACCTTGCAGACAGTTTCTCCAACATTTAGGTTCTCCCCACGCCCCTAACTTCCTCATGAATAAGCAACTTACCTAGATGTCAGTGCTGGTATCTGGAGTCTTTCTGATGTCTGCATGTTCCTGGAATATATTCTCAGTACACCAGCGTCTTCATACTCATAGTCTTTCCCAGCTTTTGAAACCTCTACAAGCCAGGTTTTCAGTCTCTAATCTGTCTGTATGGGACTAGCCAGCTGCCCATGATGGGATAATTCCTGCAGACCAATGGCTCAGAACTCTTGACTGCCTTTGTTGTTCAGGTTTCAACACACCTGGAGTCTCAGTCCGACATGTTTATGCTAGAGCTCCCTATGACAGGGTGATAGAGTCATTTGATGGTCCCAGGATAAGGATGTTAAATCCCTGGCACTTATGACACTACTCCTTGTTTCTAAACAGGGATTGACAAAGACTTTTTAATCAATTAGTGTGCACTTCCACACCCAGGCCAGACATGGTCACATGGTTTTCCTCACTTTATTATTTTACACAGCTAATTCCCAGAGATATCAGTTAAACAAAACCCACATTCTATCCCTAGTGGAAAGCTTGCTGCTAAGGCCAGTGCTTAGGAGAGAGGGCACCACAAGTTGACTCCGAATATGAGTTTCTGGGGAGGGACAACATCGCTGGAAGCATGAGACAGGGAGCTGACTGGGGAGAGATAGAAATTGAATCACATTGAAGGATAACTAGGAGCAGAATCTCTAAATGGCCCAATGACACTCAAATTCTTGGTTTTGGCCACACTCAATTCTTCAGCAATCCTGGCTCAGCAGTTCAGGGTCAGAGAAGCAGAGAGCAGATTGATCCAAATATGGGAAGTCCCAGTAGAGCAATATAAAGAGCCACAAATGAATATATTGGGAGGTATCTCAACACTTCCTATTGAGTACGGAACACACAGCATGGCACTAATCTTAGTCATGGTGGTGAGCACAGCTTATCAAAGAGCTATAGTACCTCTTAAAGAAGCATTTTGCCAAGCTTAAGATGTGGCTCCCCTTTATCATGGAGAAGAGAAACTGAGATTCAAACAGGATTGCTTTAATGCCACATTAATAATGGCCAAGTGGATCTAATTGTAAACTTGCAATGTTTGTTTATGTGAGTCCTACCTAATTTCCCCAGGATCTTCTGCTCCCAAATTTTTAGAGCTGGAGTCACTACTGCTCCAACCAGTAGACACTCATGAGATCCTGAGCCAACATTGATCAGGCAGGGCATAGACCAGCCATCATGCCCCCAACATTTGTCAGGGCTTGGAATAAGTCATTGTCTTTTTTGGAGAAGAGGGACAATTATACTCTTTTCTTCATAATTACAACTCTATCCTTGAGATTAGGCACACTCACATTAATTCTGTCCCTCTTTCTTATTTTTTATTAACTCCTCTCTATCTCCAGAAGAAGAAAATCCTTTAAACTGGGTATTCAGAGCCCAGGATATTCTTGGGCCTTCATCTTCCAGTAGATGCTTATCCTGTGCCTGATAGATCCAAAGGCAAGGGAAAGCTTCATCTTTGTGTCTTTTTATGTAGTAAATAGGCCTGACAGGCCCTACCTGCATGTCCAGCTCTCTGCTTTCCCTATGATTGGGCAGGATTGGTACTGACATGTATGCTTGCCATTTAGCATTTCACAGAGGGAAGTAAGAGGCCCTAGTTCTGCCACATGGCCTAAAGAAAGCTCCTAATTTTTTAAACAAAGAAGCTGCATTTTAAGAGGGGATGTTTTCGAGCATTTGTCAAATTTTGATAAACTTTAATTTGGTCACTGTTTTGCTTTTGATCCTTGTCTAAGTATAGCCCTCATGGAAGGGAACCAAAGAAGAGAGGAGGTGCAATTGGAACCATTCTGTTGGGTTGGTGCAAAAGTAATTGCGGTTTTTGCCATTGCTTTTAATGGCAAAAACCGCAATTACTTTTGCACCAACCTAATAGTCCCCTAAACTTACTCTGGCCTACTCAAGGGTATTCTCAAACCCATAATCTAGTATAGGCCAAACTACTGGGCTGCTTTCTGTAGCCCTTCTCATTGACTTACTTGGTCGTTGTCTAGTAAGTTACCATAATGATAACTTATAGCTGATGTTATTGAATCACTGCAAACATTCTCTGGACCACCAAGCTCTAACTAGCAAAGAAAGAGGTTTTGTTAATCTCTACATTTGCCCCTTCCCCAAAAATAAAAATAAATAAAAAGTAGCCATGTAATGTCATAGCGAATTCATTTGAGCACAGAAGTAATAAGTTCAATTTTATAAAGGTTGGTGCAAAAATAATTGTGGTTGAAAGTAATGGCAAAACCAATTACTTTTGCACCAGCCTAATATGAGTCAAGCTTCATAAGAGTTATTGGCCATCTGAAGAGCTGTGTTGAGAAGGAATCTGATACCATACCAAAGATCAATGTGAAATCATGATTTGATTAATTAAATATGCTATGAATATGAGAGAGGGGAAACGTTATCATGAGTGCCAAATATTTGTTATTTCATGCCTAGAATACAAGCTTCCATGGATGCATCAGAAATGTGGCCAACACCTACACATGTTCAGAAATAAAGTGTATTTTCTTTATTACTTAAAATATAGCATGATCATATGTCACTTTTCCCCATGGTGGATGGATTTACACTTGTAGATATTGGTTGACAGCACCTCATTTCACTCTCAAATTTGTCCCAGTTTGGACAGTATGTATGATGGTCAGCCTATGAGATTAGTTCTACTACATCCTAAGTCCGAGACTTAAAATTATAGAGTGGAAGGTAAGAGCCTTTCTAAATTATAGTAACCCTCCTAGGGCTCAAATAAAATTGCCTGGCCTTGTCAAAAGTTGACAAAAAATCACATTCATTGATGTTAAACGTAGTATATACATATAGAGAATAATACTTCTAAATTTTTCACCATATGGCTCAAAATTCTATTACACTGTATGTTTCTAGAATGCAGGGTATTATGATTTTGGCATACAATCTAGCATTAGAACACAAATATCTGCTTCTACAGTCACTATGTGTCTGAGAACACAGCACTAAATCCCTAGCTTGCACGTGGAAGTGTTAAAATATCTCCAGAAACTTAGGTAAACAACACGAAACTCAAAGTGTACACATGCACACATGCAAATGCATATTCTTTAAGTGGAACATATTAGGTTTAGCATTTATACATGAAGCAATATAACTGATGCATATAGTACCTATTTCTGAAACAAGTTCAGCAATGTCTCCTCCAACCCTCCAACTCCATTTTTAAGTCCCAGAATAAATGCCCTTTTATGTCTCAGCAGAAGGCCCAGCCAATTCTGCAAATGGTCTTGGAAAATTGCCTTCAGAATGGAGTCTCTCCAGGGAAGGTTTACTGTAGAAAAAGCAGAGATACATGGGGATTTTCAAGATCCAGAAAAAGGCAAAGGAGGAGGTAGAAGGTAACTTGAAGCAGATGGCATCCATTTCTCTTTACCCAGTAGTTCTATTCATTATTAACAGCAACAGTTTCCACTTGTGTGGAGAACAATTTTGTATTGATCCAATTTAACTTGCTAAATCCACAAGCCCAGGGTCTATATTCCAGGCAGTCCACTGTGGGGAAATTATTCCTGTTGGGAACAATGATTTTCTATTTTGGAAACTGAATTCAATTGAATCTGACCCGACAAATATCTGAGGGCTTATTATGTAACACCTCTCTCTCTTTATATTTTATTGTGCCCTGAAGAAATACTAAAATTAACCAAGTGGAAAACTATAAAATAAGACATGGTAAGTGCCATGATCAGAGTAAATAATTAACAAATTGCTCAGATGTTAGGAAGACTTTATTCAACTGAAGTAACCAGCAAAGAATTCAAGAAGGAAATACCATTTTAAATTTTCCCAAATAGATGGGTAGATTTTTAATGGGAAACAAGAGGGACTACCATTCTTGGAGGAATTCACCCAGCATATGAAAAGGCACACAGGGAGAGACTTCAAGAGGCTTGTGTTTGGAGAGCAAGATTATTTTACTAGATTAAGATTACATAAAGTACCAAAAAACTATGGCATGTTTGATAAATTTCAGTTCAATCTATTTGTGAAATAATTTATCCAAAGCTCATAGAAGATATTATTTTATCACCCTATAATCTAAATGCACACCAATGAGAATTTGAACAAGTTGACACTAAAATATTCCAAATAACTCTTTGAAGAAAGAGAAAGCAAAAACTGGAAAATAATGAGAGTGAGGATGCTACCAATCTAAGGTTATTATCTGTAGGTAAAGCTTTCTTATCAGGCAACGTCACATCAATGTATGGTTTTACTGAACAAGAAAGAATAAAAAATACCTAAGTATTTATATCAAGAAGTTAGTATTAAGCACAACAAATTAAGCATAAAGAAAAAAGGATGAAGCATATAAAAGTAGAAACTAATGAATTAAAATAAAAGCAAAGCAAACATAAATGGTGGGAAGAGAACAACATAAATATAAAGACAAATAGAACTGATCAGTTATATAACATCAGATATTAGAGTAAATAAATGATAAGAATCTGATGCATCCATTGAGGCAAACAAATGTTAGTGTCAAAGACAAGAATATTTTTAATAAAAAAAATTACCAAAACATACTCAAGAAAAAATATAGTCTAAATAAACCAATAACCTGAGAAAATGGCAGAGAGCTGGGTGAGAGAATTTAGCAAGGGCCATTGTGTTTTCCAATGAGTTATTAGAAATTTTAGAAAAATACACTTTCCATGAGAAAATAATAGTTACATGCCATGAAATATTATGCAATGCATCCCAGTTAAATTGAGTCATCTGGAAGAATCCAAATAAAATTGAATCCAACAAAACCAGGTAAGCTTTAACCCAGCAATACAATTTACTAGAATATAAAAACCAAGCTCTCTCCAGCATGCAAAGATACAGCCAGAAAGTAGCTGTCTACAAGCCAGGAAGAGGGTCCTCACCAGAACCTGACCATGTCAACCTCCAGAACTATGAGAAATAAAAGTCTGTTGTTTAAGAAAAAAAAAAAAAAACAGACAACAAAAACAAAAAACACCAGCACCAATAGCAACAATCCTATAGCTTTAGTATGATATATCAGTAGGCCAAAAGAGAAAATATTATATTTATTTTAGTGGCAGAAATGACACTTTATATAATTCAATTAAAAGTTAATATTACTACTATAACCAGAATTTTTTTATGATAAAAGATAACTTTTTTAAGCAGCACAATCTAGCATAAAAGTAGAACCATTCTTTCAAAGTCAGGAACAAGGTGAGAAATGTTGCTTTATTATTTTTTAAGCTTGTTTGTAAAGTTCTAGCAAGGGCAATAAGATAAGAAACAAAATAATTAATAATAATTAAGAAGACAGTTCTATCACTATTCACTGAGGATATGATTCAGAAAATACAGAATCTTAAAAAATGTTTAAATTTATGAAAAATATAAATTACCTAAATATACTAAGAAAGCCTAAATATGAAAAAGAAATATAAATAACCCAATATAAAATCAAATACTTTATTTAGTCAAAAACAAGAAATAATACAATGAAAATATTAATTATAAGGGCAATTATCTGTATGTTCATGAAATTACACACTAACTTCATAAATAAAACCTATTAAGTCCAAACTAATAATACAATATAATTAAAGTCCTGATTAACAAGGCTAAGGTGGGGTTTGAGATCACTGAGATTTTAAAGTAAACAACTTTTTCCTATTCAAGAGAAAGATCATTTGTTTATTAACGTCAGATTCTATAAAATTAAAATGTATGCTATGATACTTAATATAAAGAATAAAAGAATAGAATAGGAAATATAGCTTCTAAACTAGAGCAATGTACATTTTACTTCTAGTAAAGTCTTGATAACACCTATCAGACCAATCCTCCCACAGATTACGACTATAATTCCTGGTGTGTTAATCGGTTTTCACACTGCTATAAAGCAGTGTGAAACACTACCTAGACTGTGTAATTTATAAACGAAAGAGGTTTAATTGACTCACAGTTCTGCATGGCTGAGGAGGTCTCAGGAAACTTATAATTATGGCAGAAGGCAAAGGGGAAGCAAGGTACATCTTACATGGCAGCAGGAGAGGGAGAGAAAGCAAAGGGGGATCTCCCAAAAACTTTTAAAGCCATTAGTTCTTATGAGAACTCTCTCACTATCACAGGAACAGCATGGGGTAAAGCGCCCCCATGATCCAATCACCTACCACCAGGTCCCTCCCTCGATACCTCAACACGTGAGGATTACAATTTGAGATGAGATTTGGGTGGGGACACAGAGCCAAACCATATAATCTGGACAAAAATTAAGCCAGCCAGTCAGTAAGCAAATAAATAAGCAAAAAAACTATCTGAAAGCATTGAAGAGGACTAAAAGCAAGCAGATACTGAAGCTTAGCTGACATTTTAAAGAATCAAAGAGCATGGGTGAGTTTTCCCTTTTAAGAGCTTTTCTTTGTTGGCAGAATTCAATCTGAATTGTGCTATAGGGCTACAGCTCTTTATGGAAAACCTAAAGTCCTACTTTCTTGACAAACCAGAGAACAGGTCACTGGGTGATATGGTTTGGCTCTGTGTCCCCACTCAAATCTCATCTTGAATTGTAATCCCCACATGTCAGAGGAGAGACCTGGTGGGAGGTGATTGGATCATGGGGGTGGGTTTTTCTGATGCTGTCCTGGTGCTAGTGAGTGAGTTCCCATGAGATCTGCTGGTTTAAAAGTGTGGCACTTTCCCCTTTCTCTCTCTCTTGCTGCTGTGTAAGACTTGACTTGCTTTCCCTTCTGCCATGATTGTAAGTTTCCTGAGGTCTCCCTAGCCATGTGGAACTGTGAGTCAATTAAACCTCTTCTGTTTATAAATTACCCAGTCTCAGGTAGTTCTTTATAGCAGTATAAAAATGGACTAATACAGAAAAATGGTAGTGGGAGTTTGGGGCACTGCTATAAATTTACCTGAAAATGTGAAAATGATTTTGGAACTGGGTAATGAGCAGAGGCTGGAGCAGTTTGGAGGGATCAGGAGAAGATAAGAATATATGGGAAAGTTTGGAATTTTCTAGAGGCTTGTTGAATGGTTTTGACCAAAATGCTAATAGTGATATGGACAATAAAGTCCAGGCTGAGATTGTCTCACATGTAGATGAGGAACTTATTGAGAACTGGAGTAAAGTTACTCTTGCTATGCTTTAGGAAAGAGACTGGTGGCAATTTGTCCCTGCCCTAGAGATCTGTGGAACTTTGAACTTGAGAGAGATTATTTAGGCTCTCTGGGAGAGGAAATTTCTAAGCAGCAAAGCATTCAAGAAGTGACATGGGCTGGATGCAGTGGCTCAGGTCTGTAATCCCAGCACTTCAGGAGGCTGAGTCAGGTGGATCACCTGAGGTCAGGAATTAGAGACCAGCCTGGCCAACATGATGAAACCTCATCTCTACTAAAAACACAAAAATTAGCTGGGCATGGTGGTGGGCACCTGTTTCAGCTACTCGGGAGGCTGAGGCAGGAGAATGGCTTGAACCCAGGAGGCGGAGATTGCACTGAGCCAAGATCATGCCATTGCACTCCAGCCTGGGCAACAAAAGCAAAACTCCATCTTTAAAAAAGAAAAAAAACAAAGAAGAAGAAGTGACCTGGCTTTTTGTGAAAGCATACATTCATGTGTTCACAAAGAGATGGTCTGAAATTGGAACTTATGTTTAAAAGGGAAGGAGAAAGCAGAGCATAAAAATTTGGAAAGTTTGCAGCCTGACCATATGGTATGATATGGTTTGGCTTTGTCCCCACCCAAATCTAATCTTGAATTCCCACATGTCGTGGGAGGTACCTGGTGGGAGATAATTGAATCATGAGAGTGTGTCTTTCCCATGCTGTTCTCATGATAGTGAATGGGTCTTATGCGATCTGATGGTATTATAACGGGGAGTTCCCTGGCACAAGCTCTTTTTCTTTGCCTACTGCCATCCATGTAAGACATGACTTGCTTCTCTTTGCCTTCTACCAGGATTGTGAGGCCTCCCCAGCCACATGGAACTGTAAGTCCAATAAACCTCTTCCTTTTGTAAATTACTCAGACTAAGGTGTGTTTTTATCAGCAGTGTGAAAACAGACTAATACAGGTAGAAAACAAAAACTCATTTTCCAGGGAAGAATTCAAGCCCAAGCAGGCTGCAGAAATTTGCATAAGTAACAAGGACAAGAAGCCAAATGTTAATAGCCAAGACAATGGGGAAAATGTCTCCATGGCATTCCAGAAATCTTTATGGCAGCCCCTTCATATCACAGACCCAGAGGTCTAGGAGGGAAAAATAGTTTCATGGGCTTAGCCCAGGGCCCAGATGCTCTGCTCAGTCTCAGGATACAGTTTGCTGTGCCCCAGCCACTTCAGCTCCAGCCATGGCCAGAGGGAATAAGGTACAACTTGGGCCGTGGCTTCAGAGGGTGCAAGACCCATGCCTTGGTGACTTCCATAAGCAATTGGGCCTGCAGGTGTGCAGAAGACAAGAGTTGAGCTTTGGGAGCCTCCATCTAGATTTCAGAGGATGTATTGAAACACCAGGATGTCTAGGCAGAAGTCTGTTGCAGGTGGGGAGCCCTAATGGAGAACCTATAATAGGGGAGTGCAGAGGGGAAATGTGGAATTGGAGCTCCCACAAAGAGTCCCCACTGGGGCACTGCCTAGTGGAACTATGAGAAGAGGGTCACCATCTTCCAGACCCCAGAATGGTAGATACACTGACAGCTTGCATCAGACACCTAGAAAAGCCACAGGCACTCAATGACAGCCTGTGAAAGCAGCCCAGAGGGGGCTATACTCTGCAGAGGCACAGGAACAGAGCTTCCCAAGGCCTTGAGAGCCCACCTCTTGCACCAGCATGTCCTGGATGTGAGACATGAAGTGAAAGGAGATTATTTTGGAGCTTTAAGATTTAATCACTGCCCTGATGGGTTTCATATTTGTATGGGGCCTGTAGCCCCTTTGTTTTGGTCAATTTCTCCCATTTGGAACAGGAGCATTTACCCAATGCCTGTGCCCCCACTGTATCTTGGAAGTACCAAGTGCTTTTAATTTTATAGGCACATAGGTGGAAGGGAATCACCTTGTCTCAGATGAGACTTTGGACTTGGACTTTTGAGTTAATGCTGGAAGAAGTTAAGACTTTGGGGGACTGTTGGGAAAGCATGATTCATTTTTAAATGTGAGAATGACATAATATTTGGAAGGGGCTGGGCAGAATTATATGGTTTGGCTCTGTGTCTCCACCCAAATTTCATCTTGAGTTGCAATCCACATGTGTCAAGGAAGAGACCTGTGGGGAGGTGATTGAACCATGGGGGTGGATTTTCCCCAACCTGTTCTCATAATAGTGGCTGAGTTATCATGAGATCTGACAGTCTAAAAGTGTGGCACATCCTCTCTTGCTTTCTCTCTTGCCAACATATAAGACATGCCTTGTTTCCCCGTCAGCCATGATTGTAAGTTTCCTGAGGCCTCCCCAGTCATGCAAAACTGTGAGTTAATTAAACCTCTTTTCTTTATAACTTACCCACTCTCAGGTAGTTCTTTATAGCAGACTAAATACAGACTAATCCATGGGGAAACTGGAAAGCAAGGAAGGAAAACCTCAGAAAATAGGAAAGATTTTAAAGCAGCTATTCTAACTATGCCCAAAGACATAAAGTAAAGTATGCTCATAATAAATAAAGAGATAGGGAGTCTCAGCAAATGAGTAAAAATTACTTAAAAAAGGGAATTCTACAATGGAACATTACACTACCTAAAATAAACTATTGGAGAATGAGGAAATGGAAATAGAAAAAGACAAAACAAAAATTAATTCATTACAAAAGTCAAAAAGGAAAAGAAATTAAAAAGAATAAGCAGAACAAATAGCAGTCATAGCAAAAGATTAAAAAATAAATCAAATTGAAGCCACAAATGTAAAAGGAGGAAACTCTCCATATAAAACATGACAATTATCAGGCTTGAATAGGTAGATAGAAAGATAGATAGATAGATAGATAGATAGATAGATAGATAGATAGATATAGATGAAATAGATAGATAGATAGATAGATAGATATAGATGAAATAAAGACACACAACTGAATCCAATTGTATGAAAATCAATTGAATACTGGATTTGAAAAGCATAGTATCTACTGGAACATTTTTGGAACAATTGGGGAAATAAAACATGGACAGAATGTTAGATAATATTGCTGAATAGATGTTAAAAGGTCTAGGTATAATAAAACGTAAAAGATTTATATGATCTGAAAAGAAACCAGAGTATAGTCTAGATATTACAATTACATTGTGATTATGGAAGAGAGTGACTTTATTCTTAGGATAAACCTGTGGAAGTATTTAGGGAAAAAGTTAAGTTATGCTTTCAGCTTACCTCTAAATGATTCAACAGATAAAAATGTACCATATTTGGAAAGACAGTGAAACAGAGAAGGTGGGGGAGAGAAAACAAATGTGACAAAATGATAATAAATGGTAAATCTAAGTGTTGGATTTATTTGTATTATTTCAGTTTTTCTGGTTGTTTGAAAATATTTAATATAAAGTATTGAGAAAAGTAAATACATGTTAGTAAAAAGAAGCAAGATAATAAAACCTTTAAAACATCATTGAAAAATATTCATGTATATGCTCATGTGGGGGTCTATGCTATTCCCAAGAGATCCAGATAAACTTCCTAAAATTTCTACCACCTAACCCTTTTTTTTTGTTTGTTTTGTTTTGTTTTATTTTGTTTTTTGACAGGGTCTTGCTCTGTCACCCAGTCTGGAGTGCAGTTGCCCAATCTTGCTGATCTTGGTTCACTGCAACACTTACCCCTCAGGTTCAAGTGATGCTCCCACCTCAGCCTCCCAAGTAGCTGGGACTACAGCACACACCATCATGCCCTACTAACTTTTGTATTTTTAGTAGAGACAGGGTTCCACCATGTTGTCCAGGCTGGTATCAGACTCTTGAGCTCAAGTAATCCACCCAACTTGGTCTCCCAAAGTGCTGGGATTACAAGCATGAACCACAATGCCCAGCCTAACCCAATTCTAAAATAAGACTTTAGGAGAGTGAATTTATTACCACTGAACTGTACAATTAGAAGTGGTAAAGATGGTAAATTATGTATGCATATTTTACCTCAATAAAAATAAATTTTGTTTTATTTTAAATAAAAACAAATTTAAAAGAGCGTAAAGAAATTTAAAAAAAGATTACTCATATCTTACTTTCATCTGATTTAGGATTTACTCTTGAACAAAACTAGTTATGAGTTAACTATATCATGATATTGACCAGTTCTAGTTGTGAAGTGATTTTTATGTTGATTCGAAATCTATCTCACCATTTTTTCCCACTCTTATTATGTGACCTTTGACACATCACTATCTTTTGGTATCTGCAGAACTTAAGTAGTTAAGTAACAGAAAATCCAACTCAAAATAATTTAACCTAAAAAGGAAATATGTTGGTTGTTGAACAAAGTATTTTAAGATTAGTGAATCATATATGGCTGTATCCAAGAACTCAAATGATATCATTTGATTTCAGTTTCTCTTTAGTCTCAGCTTTCCTCTCTTTTGGCATCCTATTGATGGTAAGATGTCTATCATCCTCTTCCAATTCACATTCTCTCAGCTACCCCAAGGTGAAAATAAGTTATCTTTTATCGAATTTCCAACAGAAGTTCCAAAAACTTGTCTTATTTACACACAACAAAAAGATTTATGCTCATTTTACAAGGACACAAAGCAGCCAAGTGGAAGGTGTGCTTCCTAAAACATGTTATGGGAGGAGGGAGGCAGAGCAACATGGTGGAATAGAAGGCTCCCCTAATTGTCCCCCTCACAAGGACACCAATTTAACAACTATCTACACAAGAAAAACACCTTCATCAGGTGAGCACTCACAGTACCTCGTTTTAACTTCATATCGCTGAAAGACACAATGAAGAGATAGAAAAGCAGTCTTGAATCACCCACCACACATACCCTACTTCACCTACAGTGGTAGCATGGTGCAAAGTGTGTTTTTTTGTGCTGTCAAAGGGACAGAGCAGCAATTAGCAGGCACTGAACTCAGGGCTGTCCTGTTATATAGCAGAAAGGAAAACCAGACCAGACTCAGCTCATGTCCTCCCCTGGAGGGAGCACTTAAACCAGCCCTAGCCAGAAAGGAATCACCAGTTGCAGTGGTCAGAACTTGAGTTCCTATAAACCTCACCACTGCAGGCTAAGGTGCTATGGGGCCCTAGTAAACTTGAAAGGCAGTCTAGGTCACAAAGACTGCAACTTTTACCCAAGTCTTAGTGCTGAACTGGGCCCAGAAACAGTGAACTAGTGGGGCACATGAGCTAACAAGACACCAGCTGGGGCTTCAGAAGGAGTGCTAACATGAACCCTCCCCTAACTCCAGGCTGCACAGCTCATGGCTCCAAATGAGACCTATTCATTCCACTTGAGGAGAGGAGAGGGTAGAGTGGGGAGAACTTTGTCTTCATCCTGGATACCAGCTCAACCACAACAGGATAGGGCACAGGTTAAAGTTGTAAAGCCCTCTTTCCATGTCCTAGCCCCCAGAGGACATTTCTAGGCACACTCTGTGCCAGAAGGCAACCCACTACCTTGAAAGGAAGGACCCAGAATTGGAAGAATTTATCACCTGCTAACTGAAGGGCCCCTGGTCCCTGAAAAACCAGCAGTGATACACAGGTACTATGTTGAGGGCCTTGGGTGAGGCTCTGAGAATTGCTGGCTTCAGGTGAGACTCAAAATATTCCCATCTTTGGTGACTATGGGTTTTCAGAAAAACAGAGGGCAAAGTAAAGGGGACTTTGCCTTGCACTTAGGTACTAGCTCAGCCACAGGAGAGTAGAGCACCAAGTGGGTTCTGAGAGTACTCAATTCCAGAATTTGGCTCTTGGACAGCACTTTTGAACCTACCATGGGTCAGAGGGGAGCCCACTGCCCTGAAAGGTGAGTCTCAGGCCAGCAAGCATTTTCCACAAGTTGATGCAAGAGCCCTTAGGCCTTCAGGGAACATCAGCAGTAGTCTGGCAGTACTCCCCATGGACCTGTGGTGGTGATAGCAATACGATGAGGCTCCTTTGCCTTCTAAAGGAGACAGGAGAGTTGGAAGAAATGCATCTTTTGGTTTGAGTGCCAGCTAAACTGCAGCACAAAACAATACCAAGTAGACATCTAAGGTTTTTGAATCTAGTCCCTGGCTCCCAGGTGACACTTCTGGACTCACGAGGGGACAAGGGTAACTCCTTGCCCTGAAAGGAAGAATACAAGACTGGCTGACTTCACCACCTGCTGATTGTAGACCTCCGGGACCTTGAGCAAACATAGGCAGTAGCAGGAATCGGTTACCACAGGCCTTGGGCAACACCCAGTGCTGTACAGGATTCAGGTCTGACCAAGTACAGTCATAGTGCTGGTGGCCACAGGGGGGCTTGTGTCACTCCACCCCCCAGTTTTAAGTGGATTAGAAAAGAAAGAGAGAGAGACCCTGTTCATTTGGGAGAAAGTAAGGAAAGAGAACAAGATTCTCTGCCTGATAATTCAGAGAATTCTTCTAGATCTTGTCCAAGACCATCAAGGCAGCTCCTGTACAAGTGTGTAACAATCACAGTATTACTGGGCTTGGGGTACCCCCTAAAGCAGACGCAACTCAGATCACAACAGTCAAGTAATTTCAAATGTCTAAAAAGCTTCACCAACAGAGACGGCTACAAATAAGCCCAGACAGTGAAGACTAATATAAATATCAACTCCTCAATGCCCAGATACAGATGAACATCTACAAGTATAAAGGCATTCCAGGAAAAAGATGACCTCACAAAATGAACTAAATAAAGCACCAAGGACAAATCCTGGAGAAACTGAGATATTTGACCTTTCAGAGAGAGAATTCCAAATAGCTGTTTTGAGGAAACTCAAAGAAATTCAATATAACACAGAGAAGGAATTCAGAATTCAATTAAATAAATGTAACAAACAGATTGAAATAATTTTAAAAAATCAAGCAGAAATTCTGGAGCTGAAAAGCACAATTGGCATACTGAAGAATACATTAAAGTCTTCTAATAGCAGAACTGATCAAACAGAAGAAAGAATCCATGAGCTATTAGTGAGTTTAAGATAAGCTAGTTGAAATGACAGAGAAGACAAAATAGAAAAGAATAAAAATAATGAAGCATGCCTACAAAAACTAGAAAAATAGCCTCAAAAGGGCAAATCTAACAGTTATTAGCCTTAAAGAGATGGTAGAGAAACAGATAGGGGTAGAAAGATCATTCAAAGAAGTAATAACAGGGAACTTCCCAAACCCCAATATCTTATACTTTGATATATCAATATCCAACTACAAGAAAGTTATATAGCATGAAGGAGATTTAACCCAAAGAAGAAATACCTGAAGAAATACCTGAGAAGCATTTAATAACTAAACCACCAAAGATCAAGAATAAATAAAAAATCCTAAAAGCAGCAAAATAACATAAACAAATAACATACAATGGAGCTCCAATAATTTGGCAGCAGACTTTTCAGTGGAAACCTGACAGGCCAGGAGACAGTGGCATGACATATTTAAAGGGCTGAAGGAAAACGTTTTTTACCCTAGAATAGTATATCTGGCAAAAATATCCTTCAAACATGAAGAAGAAATAAAGACTTTCCCAGACAAAGAAAGGCTGAGGGATTTCATTAACACTAAACCTGTCCTACAAGAAATGCTAAGGGGGTACTTCAATCAGGAAGAAAGGGACGTTAAAGAGATATAAGAAATCATATGAAGGTACAAAACTCACTTGTAGTAAGTACTCAGAAAAAACACAAAATATTATAATACTGTAACTGTGGTGTGTAAACTACTCTTATCCTAAGTAAAAAGACTAAATGATGAACCCATTAAAAATAATAACTGCGGTTGGGTGTGGTGGCTCACACCTGTAATCCCAGCATTTTGGGAGGCTAAGGCAGGCAGATCACAAGATCAGGAGTTCGAGATCAGTCTGGCCAACATGGTGAAACCCTGTCTCTACTAAAAAAAATACAAAAATTAGCAGGGCATGGTGGTGTGTGCCTGTAATCCCAGCTACTCGGGAGGCTGAGGCAGGAGAATTGCTTGAACCTCGTAGGCGAAGTTTGCAGTGAGCCAAGATCGTGCCATTGCACTCCAGCCTGGGGACAGAGCAAGACTCCATCTCCAATAATAATAATAACTACAAGATTTTAATACATAGTCAAATAAGATATAAATAGAATAAGTAAACAAAAAGATACAAAGCAGTGGGATGAAGTTAAGGCATAGTTTTTATTAGTTTTCTTTTTGCTTGCTTGTTTATGCAAACAGTGTTATGTTGTTATCAGCTTAAAATAATGGATTTTAAGATAGTATTTGCAAGCCTCATGGTAACCCCAAACCAAAAAACAAACAACAGATAAACAAGTAAAAAGCAAGAAAATAAATCATATCACCAGGGAGAATCACCTTCACTAAAGGAAGACAGAAAGGAAAGAAAGAAAGAAGAGAAGACTACAAAACAACCAGAAAACAAATAACAAAATGGCAGGAGTAAGTCCTCATTTATCAATAAGAAAGTTGAATATAAATGGACTAAACTCTCCAATCAAAAGACATAGAATGGCTGAATGGATCAAAAAGAAAAAGACCCATTGATCTGTTGCCTACAAGAAACATACATTGCCTAAAAAGACACAAAAGGGCTGAAAATAAAGGGATGGAAAAACATACTCCATGCCAATGGAAACCAAAAAATAGCAGGAGTAGCTATACTTATATAAGACCAAATATGTACCCAACACTGGAGCACCCAGATATATAAAGGAAATATTATTAGAGCTAAAAAGAGAGATAGCACCCAATAAAATAATAACTGAAGACTTCAACATCCCACTTTCAGCACTGGACAGGATCTTCCACACAGAATATTGACAAAGAAATGTGTGACTTAATCTGCACTATAGACCCAATGGATCCAACAGATATTTACAAACATTTCATTCAACAGCTGCAGAATACACATTCTTTTCCCCAGCACATGGATCATTCTCAAGGATTGACCATATGTTACTTCACAAAATAAGTCTTAAAACATTTTTAAAAATTGAAATAATGTCAAGTAACTTCTTGGATCACAATGAAACAAAACCAGAAATCAATAACGAGGAATTTGGGAAACTATGCAAATAAATAAAAATTAAACAATATGCTCCTGAATGACATGTGGTTCAATGAGGAAATTAAGAAGGAAATTGAAAATTTTCTTGAAACAAATGATAATGGAAACACAACATGTCAAACCTTATGGAACACAGCAAAAACAATACTAAGACAGAAGTTTAAATCTATAAGTGTCTACAAAAAAAGGAGAAAATGTTCAAATAAATAATTGAATGGTGCATTTTAAAGGAGAAAAGCAAGAGCAAACAAACCCAAAATTAGTAGTAGAAAAAAAAGATCAGAGCAGAAATAAATGAATTTGAAATGAAGAAAACAATACACAAGACCAATGAAACAAAAAGTCAGCTTTTTGAAAATTTAAACAAAATTGACAAATCTTTAGCTAGACTAACTAAGAAAAAAAGAGAGAAGATCCAAATAAATAAAAGCACACATGAAAAAGGAGACATTGCAACTGATGCTGCAGAAATTGAAAGGATTATTAGTGGCCACAATGAGCAACTATATGCCAAAAAATTGGAAAATCTAGAAAAACAGACAAATTCCTAGACACATGCAACCTAACATGATTGTACCAGGAAGAAATTCAAAACCTGAACAGACCAATAACAAATAGCAAGATTGAAGCCATAGCAAAAAGCCTCCCAGAAAAGAAAAACTGAGGACCCAGTAGCTTCAGTGCTGAATTCTACCAAACATTTAAAGAAGAACTAATACCAATCCCACTCAAACTATTCTAAAAAATAGAGGAGGAGGAAATACTTCCATATTTATTCTACGAGGCCAGTATTACTTTGATACCACAACCAGACAAAGACACATCAAAAAAAGAAAACTGCAAGCCAATATCACTGATGAATATAGGTGCAAAATTATCAACAAAATACTAGAAAACCAAATTCAACAATACATTAGAAAGATCATTCATCATGTCCAAGTAAGATTTATTCCTGGGATGCAAGGATGGTTCAACATATGCAAGTCAATCAATGTTATACATTGCATCAACACACTGAAGAACAAAAACCATACGATCATTTCAATTGATGCTGAAAAAGCATTTGATAAAATTCAACATCTTTTAATGATAACCCTCTCAAAAACTGGGGATAGAAAGAATATATCTCTGTATAATAAAAGCCGTATATGACAGATCCACAACTAGTATCATACTGAATGGGAAAAAACTGAAAGCCTTTCCTCTAAGATCTGGAACATGACAAGGATGCCTACTTTTACCACTGTTACCCAACACAGTACTGAAGTCCTAGCTAGAGCAATCGGACAAAAGAGAGAAATAAAGGTCATCCAAATTGGAATGGAAGAAGTCAAATTATCCTTGTTTGCAGGTGATATAATCTTAAATTTGTGTGACCTTAAAGGCTTCACACACACAAAATAAAACTACTAAAACTGATAAAAGAATTTAGTAAAGTTGCCAGATACAAAATCAACATACATAAAACAGCAACATTTTTATATGCTAATAGTGAACAATCTGAAAAAGAAATAAAAAGATAATCCCATTTAAAATAGCCACAAATAAAATTAAGTGCTAGGTATTAACTTAACCAAAGAAGTGGAAGATCCCTATAATAAAAACTGTAAAATACTGATGAGGCCGGGCACAGTGGCTCATGCCTATATTCCCCGCACTTTGGGAGGCTGAGGCAGGTGGATCATATGAGATCAGGAGTTCAAGACCAGTCTGGACAACATGGTGAAACCCCATCTCTACTAAAAATATAAAAATTAGCCAGACATGGTGACAGGAGCCTGTAATCCCAGTTACTTGGGAGGCTGAGGCAGGAGAATCACTTGAACCCTGGAGGCGGAGGTTGCCGTTAGCTGATAATGCGCTATTGCACTCCAGCTTGAGCAACAAGGGTGAAATTCTGTCTAAAAATAAAAAAACCGATGAAAGAAATTGAAGAGAACACCAAAAAATTAAAAGATAGTCCATGTTTATGGATTGGTAGTATCTATCTATCTAATATATATATAATTTTTTTTTGAAACTGTGTCTCACTCTGTCACCCAGGCTGGAGTGCAGTGGCACAATCTGCTCACTGCTACCTCGACTTCCTGGGCTCAAGTGATCCTCCCACCTAAGCCTCCCAAGTAGCTGGGATTACAGTCATGTGCCACCATGCCTGGATAATTTTTGTATTTTTTTGTAGATACGGGGTTTTGCCATGTTGCCCAGGTTGGTCTCAAACTCCTGGGCTCAAAAACTGCCCACCTTAGCCTCCCAAAGTGTTGAGACTACAGGCATGAGCCACCATGCCCAACTCAATATTGTTAAAATGTCCATGCTACCCAAGGCAATCTACAGATTTGAGGCAATCCCTATCAAAATGTTAATGACATTCTACACAGAAATAGAAAAAAAAAATCCTAAAATTTATATGGAACCACAAAGACCCAGAATAGACAAAGCTATCTTAAGGAAAAAGAACAAAGCCAGAGAAATAACAGTACCTGACTTCAAGTTATACTTCAGAGCTATAGTAACAAAAACAGCATGGTACTGGCATTAAAAACAGACACATAGACCAATAAAACAGAATAGAGCACCCAGAAGCAAATCCACACATCTACAGTGAACTCATTTTTGACAACGGTGCCAAGAATGTACACTAGGAAAAAGTGTCTCTTCAATAAATGGTGCTGTGAAAACTGGTTATACATATGCAGAAGAATAAAACTAGACCCCTATCTCTTGCCATATAAAAAAATCAAATAAAAATGGATTAAAGACTTAAATTTTAGACCCCAAACTATGAAACTACTGTAAGAAAACGTTGGGGAAACTTTTTAGGACATTAGCCTGAGCTAAAATTTTTTTAGTAATACCCTGTGGGTAATAGTAATACCCTATTAAGTTGCACAGGAAACTTAAGCAAAAATGACAAATGGAATCACATCAAGTTAAAAAGCTTCTGCACAGCAAAGGATACAATCCACAAAGTGAAGAGATGACCCACAGAATGGGAGAAAATATTTGCAAACTATCCATCTGACAAGGGATTAATAAATAGAATATATAAGGAGCTCAAACAACTCTATAGAAAAAAAATCTAATAATCTTATCAAAAATGGGCAAAAGATTTGAATAGACATTTCTCAAAAGAAGATACACAAATGGAAAACCAGCCTATGAAAAGGTGCTCAACATCATTGATCGTCAGAAAAATGCTAATCAAAACTGCAATGAGATATCATCTCACCTCAGTTAAAATGGCTTATATCCAAAGGAGAGTCAATAGCAAATGCTTCCAAAGATGTGGAGAAATGGAAACCCATGTACATTGATGGTGGGAACGTAAGTTAGTACAACCACTATGGAGAAGAGTTTGAAGATTTCTCAAAACACTAAAAATAGAGCTACCATATGATCCAGCAATCCCATTGCTAGGTATATTCCCAAAAGAAAAGAAATCAGTGTATCAAAGAGATATTTGCACTGCCAAGTTTGTTGTGGCACTATTCACAGTAACCAAGATTTGGTAGCAACCTAAGAGTCCATCAACCGATGAATGGACAAATAAAAAGTGGCACATATACACAATGGAGTACTATTTATCCACAAAAAAGAATGAGATCCTGCCATTTGGAACACATAGATGGAAATAGATATCATTATGTTAAGTGAAATAAGCCAAGCACAGAAAGACAAACATTGCATGTTCTTACTTATTTGTGGGATTTAAAAGTCAAAACAATTGAACTAATGGACATAGAAAGTAGAAGTATGGTTACCAGAGGCTGGGGAAAGTAGTGGAGTTGGGGTAGAGGGGAATTTGGGATGATTAGGGAGTTAAAAAAATATAAAAAGAATGAGTAATACCTACTATACAATGGCATAACAGGGTGACTATAGTCAATAACAAGTTAATTGTACCTTTAAAAATAATTAAATAAGTATACTTGGATTGTTTGTAACACAATGGATGAATGCTCGAGGGGATGGATACCCCATTCTCCATGATATGATTATTATGCTTTGCATGCCTGTATCAAAATGTTTCATGTACCCCATAAATATATACCCCATAATACATACACACAAAAGTTAAAAAAATAAAACAAAATAAATAGAAAAATTCGCAATCATAGTTTCAGATTTTATCACCCCTTTCTCAGTAATTGATAGCATAATTAGACTAAAATTCAGTTAAATTATAGATTTGAATGATACTATTGACTCCCTTGATTGAATTGGCATAATAACTGCTGAATACACATTTTTCTCCCCAAGTGTACATGGAACATTCATCAAGATGGCTCATATGCTGGGTAAAATAACAAGTCTCAATAAATTTCAAAAGATCCAAATATTATAAAGTGTTTTCTAACCAAAATGGAATTAAATTTGAAATTAATAAGCTATTTAGATTTTTTTTTAAAAAAAGAAATATTACGGGAGAATGTTCCTGAAATCTAGCACATTTCATACTGAACAGTAAAAGACTCACACTCCAGGGATTCAGTATTTTTTCTCTTCTGTCAATTAAAGGAATTTGATTGTTAATTTAAAAACCCAGTCTTTATAAGTATGTGATTCTGATTTTATTGTAAGTGTTTGTTCCTGGTGGTTTTGGTTTTGGAGCTTGCATACTCCCACACCAAGACCCTAAGAGTGGAGCTACAAAGGATGGAGCCTGTCTCCATTCACTTTGGAGGCCTGCAGAAAAACCCAACACTGTTTTTTTTTTTTTCCAAGTTGGATAAACTCTTAACGTTTCACAGTGGGGTGTTGATTTTCCTGGCCAGCCTGCTGAACTCTGGTAACACAAGACTGCTGGTCCCCAGGGAACCACTATGCATAGTATGCCTAAGATGTGGCTTGGAGCTGCAGAAACCCAAGTGGGGCCTTCCGTTTTCAGTAAAGACCAGGAAATCTCTGATGGTGTCCTACATTCCTCTGCTTAATACCAATCCCTCCTCCCCACTAAAGACCATGCAAGTGGTTCATGTAAATCGCCCTGGTCTGCCTGCCAACATTCCAAGTGCTTCAGAGGAAATGTGAACACTCTGGGTGCCTAAATTTTCTTTGAAAGGTCACGGGCAAATGTGGGCTATAAATGTCCTGGCATTACAGCTGGTCTGCTACCCCTGCTTAGGATACCCAGTACTCAGGCTGCTATACTGAAACCTTCATAGATTTAGCTTTCCTGGATTTACAATTCAAGCCAGATGCTTATGGTGTAAGAAGGAGTGGAAAGGGGTGGTGAGATTTTACATGTAGGGGGAAGATAACGCAGTTGTTAACAGGTTTGTCTTTTATTCTCAGGAGTGTAGTCTCATCCCTAGTGCTTATTACATGCCAGGCACTATTCTCAGGAATGCCCTGGTTTGAAAGATAAATTATATGGTTATCCTAGATATAAAGGGCTTATCCAAAGTAGCACAGGTAATCAACTTCATATTGCAAATTCAGATCACCTAACTTCTCTACAGTGTTCTTTTCCCTAAGCCATAGGCGCCTCTCATGAAAAGTGCTACCTTCCTCTTTCTCTTAAAAGACCTCTCTCTCTCTACAAAGACCTGGGACACACACTTATCCCTTCCTGCCTCTAGCACAGAAGGTGAAAGGCTTTCTCAGTTTATTTCATTAGCACCTGAGAACCATTAGTTATGCTTCAATGGAAGTATCCGAACTTTAGCACATGCTAAATTGAACTTGATTTTTATCTTTCACTGGGAAATGTTACTGCTTTTTGACAAAAGAAGGTAACTTAATTTCTTTGTTGGGGACAAGGGGAAAATTCAAACCTTGTTTTTAGGATCTAACTTCGGCAAAATGTAACCAGAGTCTTGCATATATGCATGCATGCACACACATACACAAACCCCTCCTTAATCTGTTTTATCTCAACCATTGTGTACATAGTGGTTGCCAGAGATGAATAACTCATTAATCTTCTTTAAGACAATTAGCCAGTAAATTCAAGCTAATTAGCTAGATCTGGGTTGAGTCAAGAAAGCTATTTGTTGGAACTGGTAGAGAATTTGTAGGGGCAAAGTTAGAACAAGGTAGGAAGAAAGCCAGGATCAGCAGATGGGAGACTCCAAGCTCTGCAGGGTTGCTACATAGAATTCTCTTCAGAAATGCCACTGGCCTCAAGGAGCAGCCCAAAGGTACAAGGTACTGCCTCAAAGATGTTTGATTTGCAGAATACTGTCAAATTCCATGTCTTCATTGTGCCTTCTGTCCTTCTGGCTTTGAAGGATAGAGAGCTGGAGTGAGTTCCCAACTATCCCCAGCTAGGAAAGAAGGAAGAAAATCAAGCTTCCTCATAAGGAAAGGGAATTTGAGTGTCTAATATGTACTCTTCACTCATTCATGTTAAGTAGATAACAAAACAGAGTCAAAGAAGACAGGTGACAACCCAAGACCATCCAAGTAGCTAGTATCAGAAGCAAAAGACTGCAGCCCTGTACTATGACATCCCGTTCTCCCTGAGAGCATCCTTTAAAGAGTTTGTGGTGAATCCAACCTACTAGGACCCAGGGAGATCCTAGCGTGGGAAGGAAGGAGACTCAAGAGCACTGAATTCAGTGAGCTCTTCTGTTTATCAATAATATGGCTTTGGGCAAGTCATTCCAATTCTCTGAGCCTCATTTTTTTCATTTCTATTTGAGGAAAATGATTTCTTTGTCATAGTCACTGAAAACGTTGGGTAAAATTATATGACGAAAACATCCCTAGTGCTTCTTACATGCCAGGCACTATTCTGTGGGCTTTACATATTATAACTCATGTGATCTTCACAATATATCTACAAGCTAGCTACCACTACCATCATCAATTAATAAAGGAGGAAACTGATGCATAGGGAGGTTAAGTTGAGCAGCTAGATAGTGATTCAGAGTGGATTCAGACCTGGATGGTCTGATTTGTGAGCCTGTGCTTTAATTACTTTCCTGCCTTTTCTAACTTGCATACTGGCTTAAATGGAGTTTAATAAATGCTCCTTTAATGCTGCTGTTTATTCATCCAATATATAGAAGCTCAGGACAGAAAATAGGCAAAAATGGCCTGTTAGTATTTATCTCTAACTTGAACTCAAGATGAAGAGACTGATCCATGTATCTTTCCCCCTGCCCATTACCTGTTTCAAAGGATATAGCTGTCAGTCTTTTTCTTGGAGATATAGCATAGAGTTTAGCAAAGACACAGTGAACCAAAGAAAATGCAAATCTATCAAAATCTCATAGACTCCTTTTCATGTGTGTTCCAAGCACTAAGAGACACAAGCATGCGATAAGGCCTATCTCAGGCTTGCAAACAATAAGAGCTCAAATCACACTTATTAGAAGAAATTGAATTTACATGGCCAACTCAAAGGGGAGCTTGATTCTAGGATTACTTCCTTTCAATGTCTATTTAGAAAAAAGTCCCCCTTTCTCCAGATGCTCTCAGAGGAGGGGATGAAAAAATATCTCCTGTTGGGGGATCTCCTGCTACTGACTCCATCTCCAAACATCACCCTGGAGGTTTTGCAAATTGGCACAGCACTTATGAATAATCAGCCACAAATGAAGAGTAAAGACATGAGCTCTTTTTTGGAGGAATTTCTTTCCTCTAGCTTCCAGCTGATCATTTAAGATGGTTCCTGGTCCCTCCCACAAGGTATGTCAGCTTACAAGCTCAGCCAATGTCCTGGACAAACAAAATCTACTTGAAACCTCATCCCAGAAATCCTGACTTTAAGCCTAGCTCGTCGTGAGCATTCCTGCTGCATGGAGATAAATATGCTCTGTGTATTATCTCATAAGATCCTCACAATGACTTTGTAAATTCAGGCTGGATTATTATCTCCATCTTACAGTAGGAAAAAAATGAATGGCAGGATGATTGAGTAAATCACTGCAGGTGACATGCAGTGTAAACAGTGCAACTGGGTTGTGAGTTTAGGTCAATCCCACACAATGCCTCTTTCTTTAAATGAGATAAACCCTTGGGTCAAGCGCTGTCATTTCCATAAACTTTTATCCAAATGTGAATGTCTTTGCTGTAAGACAAATCAGGCAGGGGTTATTAATGTATCACATTTTCATCTTCCATAATATATTGGATTCAGAAAAACTTTTACATCCTAAGTTCTTGTTACACTGTTCTGGGGTGCAAAATGAGATAGGAATGGAAAAGTGGACAACAAAGAACAGTGAAGAAACTTAGAAGTATCACTGCATTTCCAATTTTGCCTGAGCTAGCCCTATCAAAGCCAGTATTCATTATTAAGGAATCAGAGAGGTGAAAAGTATATAACCAAGATGAAAGTGGAGGATTTCAAGGGTTAAAGTCTCTATTTACTAGTGAAGGCAACTACTAGCCACTTAGAATTTGGGTTATTTTGTTGTTGTTATTCTGCATCCTATAAATGCAGAATGAACATTTATTTGAAGTGCAAATGGAACATTTACCAAAATGGACCAGCTGCTGGGCCATAAAAAAAGTCTCAATAAATTGCAAACTATTGAAACCACATAGAGCATGTTCTCTGACTAGAGGGATTAAGTTAGGGATCAATTAAGCAAAGAAGATAAATAAAATTCCCAAAATGCTTCAAAGGAGGCATTTTTAAAAATTTAGGTATAATTTACACAAAATAAAATTTACTCTTTTCAGTGTGCAGTTTGCCAGTGTTGGCAAATGCATACAAGCATGTAATCACCAGTATCATCAAGATGTGGAACAGTTTAATCCCACACAAAGTTCCCCTATGTCTCATTATAGACAACTCCTCCCTACGACCCTAGCCTCTGGCAACCACTGAACTGATTTCTGTCCCTAGAATTTTGCATTTCAAATCTGGCTTCTTAAAATCTCCCATAAGGCATTTGAGGTTCATCTATGTGTTGAGTGGATCAGTAGCATGTTTCTTCTTATTGCTAAATAGTATTCCATTGTATGGATGTGCCACAGTTTATCCATTTACAGATTGAATGACATTTGGTTTATTCCCAGTATAAGGCAATTATAAGTAAAGTCAAGATAAGTCTTTATACAGAGAATCTCTGGGTCTAAGTGTATATTCAACTTAATAGGAAACTGCCAAAGTTTTCCATAGTAGCTGTGATATCTTGCATTCTCATCAGCAATGTATGAGGGTTCCCATTGCTTGACATCCTCATCTGTGAAGCTCTTCTTAGTTTATTAAGTCTTTCTAACAAGTATGTAGTTGTATGATTGTGGTTTTAATTTGCAATTAAATTACTAATGATATTTCATGTCATTTTGTCATTGGTATTTATCCATTGGTGAAATGTTTATTAAGTTCTTTTGTCCATTTTTAAAGTAGACTTTTTAATTATTAATTTTTGAGAGTCCTTTGTAGAGTGTAGTTATGAGTCCTTCAGGAAATATGTTTTTTCCAAATATTTTCTCCCAGACTGTGTCCTGTCTCGTTTTGTTAATGAAAATGAGCAAAACTTTAAATTTTATGAAGTCTACTTTATCATTTTTAATTTTTTTATTTGTTTAATTTTTGTGTTCTATTTCAGAAATCACTGTGTACCACAAGGTTGCAAAGAATTTCTTTTAGTTTTCTTCATAATCTTACAAAATTATATTCCAAAATTCTCCTTTCCATAGTTTATGCAATTATTGCCATCCATTTTACTTCTATAAATGCTATGGACACCTAACATCTTGCTATTCCTTTTTGCTTTAGACAGTCAATTTTCTTTTTTGTGTGTGTGTGGATCAAAATTTCTGTCTAGCATTTCTTGCTGAAGCGCTTTTTAGTATTTCTTGTGGTGCAGTTCAGCCAATAAGAGAGTGTCTCAATTTTTGTTTGAAAAAAATATTTCTTCTTTATTTTTGAATTTTTTGAGTGTGGGTCTGGGTGTAATAGTCTAGGTTGAAAGTGGTTTTGCTTTTTTTGTTTGTTTGTTTGCTTTGCTTTCAGGACTTTAAAGATGTCACTTGATTTTCTTCTTGCTTGTGTAGTTTCTGACAATATCTGTTTTAATTCTTGTATATGTTCCTTTGTATATACCATATTTTTCCTGGTATCTTTAAATATTTTATCTTTATATATGATTTTCAAAATGTCGAATATGCTGGTTGAAGAGTGTTTGTGTGTGTGTGCACGCGCACGTGCACTGTGTGCACAATATATGTGTTTCCTTATTGATCCTGCCTGGTGTATGGAGTCCCCGGGATTTCTGGGCTAGTGTCATCTTCCACATTTCCAATTACACCAATTACATATACGTTTGTAAGATATTTTCCCATGGTTCTTGGATAATCTGTTCTTTTTATTTTCCACTCTTGTTTCTGTTTTTTTATGTGTAAATTTAAACAAACTGTTCAAAAGCTATTTTTTATGTCCATTTTCATTTATATCTAATTTCATGTTTATAATTTCTTCTAATTTGTCTTCAAGTTGACTGAATTTTTCCATGGCTGTATCGAGTGTACTAAAAAACTCATGAAAGATGTTCTTTATCTCCGATCCCATATTTTAAATTTCTAGCATTTATTTGATTCTTTTTCACAGTGTCCATCTCTGTGTTGAAATTTCTCATGTGTTCATGCATGTTGTCCATGTTTTTGCACTGGAATCTTTGCTGTGTTGATAATATTTGTTTTATATTTCCAGTTGTTTCATTGTCTGGATGATATTTTAGTCTGGTTCTCTTGATTGTCTGTGGAATGAAGTCAATTATTACAAGAATTTCATGGATGCAGAAACTGAGGCTCAAGGAGGTTAGATGAGTACTCAAAATCACGGAGCCAAGAACTGATGAAATGAAGTCAAACAAATTTCAGGCTTTATCTTCTGCCCACTAAACTGTGCTGCTCTATAATATGGACACAATAAATAGCTACTGAACAGGTGATTACATGACCTGGAATTCTCAAGCATAAAAATCTGTCCAATGTTGCCCAATAGAAATGCCTCTGGGGACCCAAATCTTGGGACACAGCTGAGTGGGAAGCCACTAGGAGCTTATACCTATGTTCTGATGGTGTAGAACTATTTCAAAACCCCATGAGAATGTATGCATTTGGTAGGTAAGTGTCACTGTGGCCAAGTGAAAGGTATGTTCATCTCTTTACTCACTTACTCACCTGCCCAAGCAGCACAGGATCTGGAACAGTCAGAGGACGAGACTGCATGGAAATATTTGACATAAGCCTTATAGACGCCTCTCTCACCCTAACTCTTCACTGAAAAAGCACCATTTGTTTTTTCACCGAATAATCATTTGTAGCATACAAAATGAGCCATGTGATTTGTTTATTTCCTTATTAAAACAAACAAAAATTCGCCGCCCTGTTCTGTCCCACAGCCAGGGCTACCCTGGCTATAAGCCAGCTGTGTGGCTCTGCAATTTCAGGCACTGGAATGAGCTGGGATGGGGCCTGCAGGCTTTTTCTAGCTCCAAAGGCACAGTTGTCTACAGATTCCTCATGGATCAGGAAAGCTGGGGTGGGGCTGGCACACACAGTCAATGGTCTTGTAAATAAATGTGTTCGGCCCATTCCAGCCAGTAGATAGTGTATCACAAGGCAAGGCCATTTACATATGGTCCCCTGGGCCTAGGTCAGGCATTGAATCAGGCATGTTACCTGCCAGACAGCTATAGTGAAGATAGATTAGCCTCCTGGGTGTCAGGTATATGCATAGCACATGAACTTCCCCCAAGAAAGCAAGTTGGCCTCTCCAGAAGACCCCCTGGGACTGTGTCTTTGTGGCCTAAATTCCAGCAGGGAGCAGCCACAGACCTCAGACTTGCTTCTTCAGTTTAGAAGATATTCTTCAAGGATGGCTTCTGGTATCAGAGGTCTCAAGTAAGTGTGTGTAAAATATTTCAGTGTTGGACCTAATAAATATTATTCTTAAGGAAATAATTCAAAAAACGAATACATAGGCAAAGATGTTACTTATAGTAAACTAAGTTTATAACATTAGGATGGTGACATATCTATTTAATAGACTGTCATGCAGCTATTAATAATTTTGCCCCATATTTAAAACTTTAGAAAAAAAAGACACTAGAAGGAGTGAAAATATCAAAGTTATAATAGATGAGAATTTCCCAGAGATATAAAGGTCACAAGTATTCCTATTGAAAGGGTATATTAAGAGTTTAGAGTAAAAGGAAAGGAAGAGCCAAACCTAGGGATATTACTGTAAAATTTCAAGGATTAAGAATAAAGAGGAGATCCAAAAACCTTGCAAGGTGCAGAATAGTCACCTACAAAAGAGTAAGAATTAATCGGACCTCAAATTTTCCATTAGCAATATTGTATGCTTAGGGCTACTTTATCTTTCAGACATTGAGACACAGTGCCTGGGGCCTATGAGTTTTTTAAGTTCTATGGAAATATTTTATAGAAGAGAAACTTTATTCTAGATATATATTATATATAATAACTATATATATTTCTATAGATATATAATGTATATGATTGTGATAGAATATATATACACACATATATACACACACACACATATGTAATATATATTGTTAATATAAATTTGGTCTTTGTTCGCAGTTTCTGACACAGAGTTACAAAAACCCTTGTAATTTTACAATAGTATTACCAAGCTAGGCCTGTTCTACCCATCATGCAGTATGACAATCACTGAGATAATGAGTTTTGCAGTAAAGATTTTTTTCGCTAGGTAGCCAGCAAGCAGATGGGAAACCAGATCTCAAATTCACCTCCCTGAATATAGGGCTTAGGCGTATTTACAGGATAAAGAAGCAAGCTGGTCATGGAGAAAGGTGATTGGCAGTGGGAAAAAATGAGGTAATCAGTGGTTTGTGCAAGAATAGACAGAGTTTGTGGCTTTTCATAGGACACATGTGCATTCAGAAAATGGTGGCATCAGCATAATCTGAGGGAGGAGGTTTGGGCCCTCTAACATCAAAACGTGACCTCTCAGGTATTTGCACCTGCCCAGTTGAAGCGTTAGTGGTCTCCACTGGTTTAAACTGGACTCGTTCTTGAAAAATAACTTTAAGCAATCATTAACTATAGTGATATATATGTCAGAGATGTTATCTACAAGAAAGCTAGTAGGAGTATAGTTATATATTGTTTGACTGTGTTACTTTTAGCCACATAGGTTTTAAGATCAACTGGAAGTAACCAATTAAAACCACACAAGTGGTTTGGTAGACTTAACCAGGTTAGCCTTTAGTTTCAATAGAGTCATCTTTTGTTCTAATATTTAGTCTTTGTACCTCATTCCTGGCACATAACTCCTAAAACTCAGAATCTCTGGAGTGGTAAGAGTGTCTTTAGTGTGCTATTGACATGACTGGTGGCCTCTAGAGAGCTTCGGGATGGGGGCTGGTGGCCAGAAAAACTAAGGCATGATTAGAGGGTTGGGATTTTCAGTTCCACTCTCCAACCTCTGGGGATAGGACTGGAGATTTAGATAATCATCAATTTTCAATAATTTAATCAGTCATGTTTATATAATGAAGACTTCTTAAAACTCCCTAAATGACAGGGTTCAGAGAGCTTCCCAGTTGATGAACGAATCCACATGCAGGGAGGGTGGCACACCCCAACTCCACAGTATAGAATCCCCTGGGCTCAGGACACTTCCAGATATGACCCTATATCCTTTATAATAAACCAGTAAATATAAGTACAGTGTTTCCCTGAGTTTTGTGAACCATCCTAGCCAATTATAGAACCTGAGGTGAAGTATGGAAATCCCTGGTTTATAGCCAATTGTTCAGAAGTACAGATGGCGATCTGAGACTTGCAACTGGTGTCTGATGTGTTTCTGTCTCACGGGACTGAAACCTTAACCTGTGGGGTCCATGTCACCTCTGAGTAGTTAGTGTCAGTGTGGATTTGAACGGTAGAATAACCAGCTGGTGTTCAGAGATTAGGAGAATTCATTTTTGGTGTGGAAAAACTCACATATTTGATGCTAAAGTACTGTGAGTAAAAAGAGCCAAATATATAATATACAGAGATGCTATATCCATATTACATGTGTGTATATGTATATAGATTGAGATTCAAAACTATAATACTATACTATAAAATCAAGTATGAGAAATTATTAAATATGTATGTAGATAATATTATACTATGATACTTTGTAGTATGTTTCATATGAGAGGTGGGACTCCAAAACTTACAGTACCTTGGATTAACAAAAATTCCGAAAGTCTTGCTAGCAATCTAATTCTAGGCCCTAAAACCTAACAATTACAAGGGAAGTATCCCTCCCCTCTAGATTTGCAAACCCAACCAAACTATCAACCAAGGCATAAGGATATTATGAAAACATTTTTAGGTGAGACAGAACTCAGACATTTTAAGTTAATTTTAAGTTTCTGTTAGCATTTGAATGCTGATAACTAATTACATTTTTCATCTTTCTCCAAAGTTAGTAGCCAGTTAAGAAATATATACAAAAAGCTGAATGATCAATTTAAAAGTGATCTATGTCGTTGACAGTACTGAACTGGACCTATGGCCATTTGGGTCCCTTACTAAACCCTCGATGGATCTTAAATCTGGAGTTTAGGATCAATCACCTGAGGGATTTTAAGGGCAGTCAGTCGGTCTTTCCAGAATCATCGCTTTGCCTGGATGCAGTATAGAAAGGGCCTCGAGCTAGACATTAAAGGAAGACTTGGTTCCTGACCCAGGTGTGCTTGCTATTTGAAATAGATCCAGAATGCCAACAGCTAGGGCAGGCCTCCTTGAAACAGAAATCCCAGAAGGGGCTGAGCCACATGTTCTTTCTACATTATTCACCATAAAAGTAAGACTTTTTTCACTGGGAACAAGGGAATAAACAAGAGACAAGCCAGAAGAATTTCCTCCATTCATGTTTTCTCTTTTTCGCCTAGGGCAGTGGTGCTCCAAGTGTTGTCCTTAAACCAGCAGCATCAACATCACCTGGGAACTTGGCAACAACAACAACAAAAAGGAAATTCTGGGGCACTAGCTGAGCAACTTAGCAAATTAGAAACTCTAGGAAAGGAACTCAGTGATCTGCGTTTCCATAAGCCCTGCAGGTAATTGTAATGCACTATTATGGTGGAGAACCACTGTCATAGAGCAGTAATGGAAGTTTATTTCCTTTTTTGGAAATTTGAGGCTAAAGAAGATTCCCCCACCCAATCACCCCTTGAGATTGTATGCCTGATAAATGAAGTCATAAACTGAACATGACATGAGGTCTATTCAAGAGTAGCTCCAACCCAGAAGAGGAGTGTCTGGAAGTGAAAGGATAGCTCATGTGCAGTGTGCCTAGGAAACAACCTGCCTAGAATTGACTAGATGGATGGTGGGCTCAAGAAAGGAGGATTTGATAGAAGAGTCAGTGTAATTGAGAAAAGCTAATGGATCTGCAATAAAGCACGAGTCAGGCACGGTGGCTCACGCCTGTAATCCCAGCACTTTGGGAGACTGAGGTGAGCAGATCACCTGGGCTCAGGAGTTCGAGACCAGCCTGGTCAACATGGTGAAACCTCATCTCTACTAAAAATACAAAAATTAGCTGGGCGTGGTGGTGTGAGCCTGTAATCCCAGCTACTCGGGAGGCTGAGGAAGGAGAATCTCTTGAACCCAGAAGGCAGGGGTTGCAGTGAGCTAAGATCGCACCACTGCACTCCAGCCTGGGCCACAGAGTGCGACTCCATCTTAATAATAATAATAATAATAATAATAATACAACCGGCTGGGCACGGTGGCTCACACCTGTAATCCCAGCACTTTGGGAGGCTGAGGTGGGCAGATTACAAGGTCAGGAGATCGAGACCATCCTGGCTAACATGGTGAAACCCCGTCTCTACTAAAAATACAAAAAATTAGCAGGGTGTGGTCGTGGGCACCTGTAGTCCTAGCTACTAGGGAGGCTGAGGCAGGAGAATGGCGTGAACCCAGGAGGCAGAGCTTGCAGTGAGCTGAGATTCGTGCCACTGCACTCCAGCCTGGGCGACAGAGTGAGGCGCTGGCTCAAATAATAATAATAATAATACAATAAAGTACCAAGGAAATAAGAAGGAAGAGAGGAATGGAGAGAGGAAGAAGAAAAGAAAGATGGAAGAGAAGGAAGGAGAGAGGGAGACATGGTGACAGAAAAGAAAGATGAAGAAAGAAATAATAGATAATCAGCAACTCAAGAAAAAGAAAAATACTTCATAAAAAACGAAATGAGTCAAAATTAAATATGACATGGATTTGAGCAACTAGGGCCATATCAACAAAAAAGGAAACTCTGTTTCCTCTGAAGTACCACCAGAGTGGTGACATTGGAACCTTAGGGATCACAGTAGTTGTCTTTGTGGTATCATCATAATAATACATAACACTGGTTGTTGTTTCCCAACTTTTAGAATCAATACACAGGCAATGAACAAAAAACTAAACTGTGGCTACAAAACATAAAAAAGATGTAGTCAATCCGAAAGGTGTACAAAGTAAGGTACAACCAACAAAGGTTTGGAGGTAGGAGGTATGAGGTATGAGGAGCAAACACAATGGGAAGAATGGGAATCCTCACTTCCTCATCATTCGACATAGTAAACAATTGTCAATACCTGTGCAGCAAGAGATAGTTTTAGGTAAGCTTCTCAATTTTCTAAGTCACCAGTTGGAGAAAGGTGATGCATGTGGGCATAGGTGACTCTATTAGATGAAGCAGAGCAAGAAAGAGGAAGTAGTATACTGCCACGATGCATGCAAACTTAACATTATCAAGGTTAATAAGCTGGATATCAAGGCTTTTGCACAGATTGATATATGTTGCTGGGTAAAAACTTACATTGCTTTCCATGGGATTTATATACAACAGTGAATTAACTATAAAGGCTAATTCATTTCGTTGTGATGTTTTGAGATGTCAGCAATATCACTTTGTTAATTTCCACAAAGTCTTCCATATCTTGAAGCCCGGAAGATAGTGCCCTGAGCTTATGCATTCTTTAACCCAAACAATCCATATTAGGGACACATATGGCCTTCCAGAGGCACTCTATGGTCTTTCCACTTTTAATTTTTTTAGAAAAACAAGATATCACTCTGTTGCCCAGACTATAGTGCAGTGGCATGATTGTAGCTCACTGCAGCCTCAAACTCCTAGATTCAAGTGATCCTCCCACCTTAGCCTCCCATGTAGCTGAAACTATAGGTGCACATCCAATTAATTTGTTTATTTTTATTGGAGACGGGGTCTCACTACATTTCCCTGGCTGGTCTTGAACTCCTGGCCTCAAACAATCCTCCTGACTCAGCCTCTCAAAGTGCTCCCCACTTTTAATGATGTCTTTTGGTGGCTGAAGAAAAAAGAAGGGAACTTTCTTGTCAGCTTTCATAATACAGTAATATTACACCAAGATCTAGTCCCACCCACCAAAAGTAGTCTTTGAATTTCCTCATGCTGAATTGACTTTACAGTCTTCCTTTTTCTCCCTAGGTCTTGAAGGCTCATGTTAATAGAAAGCAGTCCTAAGATGTGTATTCAGGATTCAATTTGGTATTTGCTAGGTAAGAAATCTGGGCAAGTTTCCTTTTGTTTTGTAATAATTCCTTTTGATATAATTTTTAACTTGACCAGATTCACCCTCTTTACTTTTCATTTTTGTTTTTGTAACCTTTTAAGAAAGAGAAAGCCATACCCTGCTTTAGGTATTTGTTTGAGTTTCTAATGAGTTTGTAGAGATGAAAATACTATTCCTATTTTAAAGTCCTGTGCCAATTCCGGGATGAAAGATGGAGTCACAGAAAGGGTATCTTAAGGGAAATAGTATAATAAAGGCAGTGAAAACTACAAGCAAGAGTGATATCATCTCATGGGTAAGGCTTTGTTACCCATGGAAGGTGAAGGACAGCAAGTGCTGTACTATGTGTCAGCACCTTAGCATCATGGGAAATGATCACTTTCCACCGAGGAAGCAGAAATGGTGGAGTGTAAGTGTGGGGATGCCAATGGCATAGACAGTGCTTTTCCTAACAATAAAGGGAGAGTTAAGAGCCCAAAATACTTCACTTTGCAAAAATCAGAGTGCATGTGTCCTGGAGGACTGGAATAGAGGGGGAGCTGGTTGAAAAATAGAAAGGAAACTATTAAAAATCGTTGAATTATAACTTAAAGCGAGCCGATGTGATGGTATGCAAATTATATCTCAATATGGCTGTTCAAAACAGGGCAGATGTTGTGGGTCAGGAAAACCTTGTATAAAAAGGTCAAGGAATTACAAATCTTGGGCAAACACTTATTGCATAAAAATAATTGTATCAATAGCTTTTTTATTTCACTCTAAGTACATGTGCTATATATTTTCATTTGAAAAAAATTAAAACTTGCACTTGGAAAATTATGCTTCTTTTCCAAGAAGCTCTTAGCTAGCAACTGTTTGTGAGGACTTTATCAAGGGAATCATCACGTTTTCATCATTGAAAATAACAGAGGCCACTGCATCTCAAATTATTCCCACAAATGGGAACGAAAGGCACTTCTCTCCTTTAGCATATGGCTAAGTTGGCTTCCATCTTCTCCATCTTCCAGCTAAAGTGTTATGTGGCAAATGGATATTTTCTCTAAAGGTATCCCAAAGAAACCTTTCCAGGGTAGGCAGCTGCCTCCCATGCAGCAGAAGCTTATGGAATAGTGTAAATTAGGGCATCTCCATGTCACTAGACCTACAGAGTCTATGGAAGGTTGCTAACTTACCTAGTGAATTCCAAGCATGGAACAAACAGTTGGAAAGAAAGAGTCTAAAAGTTCAAAGAATTGCTGCTTCTCTGATGGCAAGCAGGCATGTGGGAGGCTGGGTCTTGGGGTAAAGAGTCAGAGCCACATTTAGGGGAATTGCTGAAAACAGATTCCAGGAGAAGGTGTGGCATGGAACATCAGATGGCTATTTCACAAGGCTTTTCAACCTCTGGATCACAACTGTTCTCTTTTTTCTTTAATTAGGAAGGATTGTGTCCTCAGACTTTCTTCAGATAGCCCCAAAAGGCCCCATCCTAGGAGTAGACCAGCCTTCCTGGCTAGCAGAAATATTACTCAAAAAGAAATGTAAGTCATGACTTCCAGGAACATTGAGGCTCCTACCTCATTTACCTTAACCCCTATCGAGTATGTTTGCCAGGCTTAAAAGTATATATTATTATTCAAGTAATGCACTATTATATTATTTTGTAAAAATTCAAATATGTGGAATTTTCAGAGTCAAAAGTCAAATGTCTTTGACATCTTTGTCATTCCCTTTACCTACTCTCCTCATAGTCCCCTTCCTAGATTCAGGAATAACTAGTATCAATTTAGTGTGTATCCTCCCGTACCTTTTTCTACGTTTTTAGATACATAAATATTATATGCAGAAATACAGAGTTGTGTTCTGTATCTTAACACAGTAACAGACACTATGCATTCTTATGCAATTTGCTTTTAAATGTTAAGTGTTGCAATGTTAAAAGCAATTATTGGCTCTCTTTGCCCTGTGGCATACTTATCCGTAAAATGGGAATGTTATAATTTATTTTACCACTTCCTTAATCACGTAGATTTTGTTTTTCCCCCATTTTCCATTACTATAAACAGCTCTGTAATGAAATTTTCTATACTTGCCTTTGAGCATTTTTTTAGGGAATAAAATGTAGATTCTGGGTTAGAGGGTAAGCACATTATGCAATTTAATAGATATTGTCAAAATGCCATCCTAAAAAACTGTATCAAATTATACTCCCACCACAGTCTTAACCTATTCTAGGAAAACCATTTTAGAAGATAGGAAATTTTAGACTCCTGGGTCTAAGTTCTTGGCTTCAGAAGCATTGGGCCATAGGAGCTCAGATATCCATGGAAACCTTCTTCCAAGGAGGCAATGTTTCCAGACCCACCACACTTTACGGTGGTCTGCAAAGACCATGCCAAGGATTGTGATTTCTCACTAGGACTCCAGTGAGGGAGTCAGATCCCCACACCTTTTTATGTACTCTTTCTAGGTGAATTATAACCAAAATCAAAATTTGGACTAAAATCAGCCTCCTGTCTTTGTTCTGAAAGTGTAAGAAATAAAACCTGATTTTGGAAAGGAAAAAGTGGGTAAAAAGAAAAAAAAAAACACTGAGAACAAATTTCAGCCCATGTATAGGACAGATAAAAAAGGTCAAGTGATTCATCTTTTTTCCCTCTACCTAAATTGCTGCAGCTTCAATGCAACAGAAGTGACTCTGGTTGCAGGAACCATCTTCGGTTGGGATTAACTGTTTTAGGAATGCAAGTTAGTATACTGGAATTAGAATGAGCTTGTCTGGGTTCAAGTCCTTGCTCTACATTTATTACCATATCAGCTTGAAGAAGCCATACTGTTCTTCTTTTCCAGCTCGGAACCTTGGATTGTTCTCTTCTTGGCACGGAATTCTCTTCTTGCAAATTTTCCTGAGGCTGACTTTCTGTTACCATTCGAGACCCAAATCAAAGTTCTTTTCTTCCAAAAGGCTGTTGCTAGAACTATTGGAAAAGAGAATTTATATTTCAGTTTGCTTTCTTGGGCCTATTTATGCTGCCTTAAAGAAAAGACAAGCCTGAGCACAAAGCCAGTACAAAATACTGGGAGAGCCATATTTTTAGTAATATCTTCTGAGCATCCATATCTTAAAAAGCCTTTTGTCTGGCCTATGTATTCTCACTTACTCTTGAAGGTAGAACACATGCACACACACAAAAACACACACACAATCACACACATGTACACACACGTACCAATTCTATGTAGCACAATGGTTTTCAATTTTGGCTGCTCATTGATATCCCCTAGGAAGCTTTATAAATTCTGATGCCTGTGCCTCACCCCCATTGATACTAATTGAATTTGTTTGAGGTGTGTTGTAGGCAACAGAATTTTCTGAAGCACCCCAGGTGATCCTATGAGGTATGCCAAGGTAGACAGCAATTGGTTCATTGGTTCACAAACTCTTGTTTCCAGATAAGCAGCACTGGCATCACCAGTGAAGTTGCTATATTTGCAAACTCACAGGCTCCACTCCAGACTTCTGGAATTGAATAGTCCACAGCCAGTATATTTTAACAAACCTTCCATGTGATGCTGATGGATGCTTAGGTTTAAGATCCTCTAATCTAGAGAGGTGATTTGGCAATTTTAGCCACTACATGGCTTTTTGCCATTGTGAGAAATTTGCTGCTATTAGATGAGAGGTAGATGAAACTGCTTGAGTCCTGGCCATGCTTTGGAGCTAGGGAGAGGTAGAAGAGGTGATGATGGGTTTCCTGCTGCCTTGACAAGATTAGGGAGAGTGATTTAAACATGTCTACTTCAGTGCAAGGCCAGTTCAATAAAAAATAAAGTCTCTTCTCTAAGAGCAAAGTTGGTATCACAACAAAGGTGGCAATAGGGCAGCAGAGATTAGAAGAGGAGTCATTGGCAGCATTGGAGAACGCTAGAGGAGTTGCACCCTCTGGGGTATAAGATGTAGAGGGTTCTTATGGTTCCTGCAGAGGGTGACTCCAGAAGGGACCAGTCAAGCTAGAGAGAAGTCTACACAACCCTATTGCCCTCTGCTGGGAAAAACAAAGATTTGGTGTGGATGTGAGTCAGGGCATCCAGAAACGAGGTTTTGGCATCACAGTGTGACTCACCATATCTTCTTTGCCATTTCTTCCAACAGTCAGAGATTCATGTGCCAGGTAAGACACAGCACATTAAAGGAGAAGCAGCAGGTCAGTAGAACAAGTTTAACCTGTTATATTAGTCTGTTCCCACATTGCAATAAAGAAATACCCAAGACTGGGTAATTTATAAAGAAAAGAGGTTTAATTGGCTCACAGTTCTTCAGGCTATACAGGAAGCATAGCAGCTTCTGGGGAGGCCTCAAGAAACTTTCAATCATGGTGGAAGGTGAAGGGGAAGCAGACACACTTTACATGGTCAGAGAATATGGAAGTAGGTGCGGGGACTAACAGATTTTATGCTCACTTACTCACTATACAGTACCAAGAAGGGATGGTGCTAAACAATTCATGATAACTCTACCCCCATGACCAAATCACCTTCCAACAGGCCCTATCTCCAATATTGGGGATTATAATTTGAGATCATATTTTGGTGGGGAACACATATTCAAACCAAATCATTCTGCCCCTGGCACCTACCAAATCTCATGTTCGTCTCACATGGCAAAATCCCACCATGCATTACCAATAGTCCCCCAAATTCTTAACTCATTCCAGAATTAACTCTAAAGACCACAGTCCAAAGTCTCATCTGAGACAAGGCTAGTCCCTTCTGCTTATGTGCCTGTGAAATAAAAAACAAGTAAGTTACTTGCAGGATACAAGGAAGTACAGGCATTGGGCAAATACTCCCCTTCCAAAAGGGAGAAATTGGCAAAAAGAAAGGGGCTACAGGCCTCATGTAACTCAAAAACCCAGCAGGGCAGTCACTAAATCTTAAAGTTTCAAAATGATCTCCTTTGACTCCGTGTCCCACATCTTTGCATGTGCACTCTCATGCAAAGGGTGGGCTCCCAATTTCTTGAGCAGCATCACCCCTGTGGTTCTGAAGGGCTCAGGTCCCCCCAGCTGCTTTTAAGGGCTGAAGTTGAGTGCTTGTGGCCAAGTGCAGAGTGCAAGCTGTCAGTTGATCTATCATTCTGGGGTCTGGAGGATGGTGACCCTCTTCTCACAGCTCCACTAGACAGTGTCCCAGTAGAGACTCTGTGGGAGGGCTCCAGTCCCACATTTCCCCTTTGCACTGTCCTAGTAGAGGTTCTCCATGAGGACTCCTCCTTTGTATCAGTCTTTTGTCTAGACATCCAGGCTTTTTTATACATCCTCTGAAATCTAAGTAGAGGTTCCCAAGCCTCAACTCTTACACTCTGCATGCCAGCAGGCTTAACACTACATGGAAACTGCCAAGGGTTATGGATTGCAACCTCTGAAGTAGTGGCCTGAGCTGTACCTGGGACCCTTTGAACCACAGCTGGAGCTGGAGGAGCAGGGGAACAGTGTCCTGAGGCTGTGCAGGGTGACAGGTCCTTGGGCCTGATCCACAAAACCATTCTCCCCTCCTAGGGCTCCAGGCCTGTAATGGAAGGACTACTAAGAAGGTCTCTGAAATGCCTTTGAGGCCTTTGCCCATTGTCTTGGCTACCAGCATTTGCCTTCTTTTTAGTTATGCAAATTTCTGCAGCTTGCTTGAATTCCTCCCCTGAAAATGAGCTTTTCTTTTCTACCATATTGCCTGGCTGCAAATTTTGCAAACTTTTATCCTCTTCTTCCCTTTTAAATATAAGTTCCATTTTCTGGTTATTTATTTGTTCATGCATGTGAGCATAGGCTTTTAGAAGCAGCCAGGTCATATCTTGAATGCTTTGCTACTTAGAAATTTCTTCTGCATGATACCCCAAAACATCACTCTTAAGCTCAAGCTTCCACAGATCCCTAGAGCAGGGGAACTATGCAGCCAACTTCTTCACTAACACAAACAAATGTGACCTTTGACTATAGTCCAGCACTTTGGGAGGCTGAGTGAGCAGATAGCTTGAGCTCAGGAGTTAGAGACTAGCCTGGGCCATATGGTAAAACTCCATCTCTACAAAAAATACAAAAATTAGCTGAGCATGATGGTGCATGCCTGTAGTCCCAGCTACTTGGTAGGCTGAGGTGGGAGAATCACTGAATCTGGGAGGTCAAGGATGCAGTGAGCTGAGATTGCACCACTTCACTCTAGCCTGAGTAACAAAGAGAGACATTGTCAAAAAGAAAGAAAGGAAGAAAGAAAGAAAGAGAGAGAGCGAGAGAAAGAAAGAAAGAAAAAAGAAAGAGACATTTGCTCTAGTTTCCAATAAGTTTCTCATTTCCATGTGAGACTTCCTAGGCTGAGGGCCTAGACTTTACTATCCATATCACTATCAGCATTTTGGTCACAATCATTCAACAAGTCTCTAGGAAGTTCTAAACTATCCCTAATCTTCTTGTCTTCTTCTGAGCCCTCCAAAATGTTCCAATCTCTGCTCATTACACAGTTTCAAAGTTGCTTCCACATTTTCAGGTATCCTTATAGCCATGCCCCACTCCTCAGTACCAATGTTCTGTATTAGTCCATTCTCACACTGCTATAAGGAAATACCTGAAACTTGGTAACTTATAAAGAAGAGAGGTTTATTTGGCTCAAGTTCCACAGGCTATAATGAAAGCATGATTCTGGGGAGGCCTTAGGAAAGTTATAATCATGGCAGAAGGTGAAGAGGGGGTCAGCACTTCACATGGTCAGTGTCAGGCCTCTGAGCCCAAGCCAAGCCATTGCATCCCCTGTGACTTGCACGTATACGACCAGATGGCCTGAAGTAACTCAAGAATCACAAAAGAAGTGAAAAGGCCCTGCCCTGCCTTAACTGATGACATTCCACCATTGTGATTTGTTCCTACCCCACATTAACTGAGTGATTAACCCTGTGAATTTCCTTCTCCTGGCTCAGAAGCTCCCCCACTGAGCACCTTGTGACTCCTGCCCCTGCCCACCAGAGAACAATCCCCTTTGACTGTAATTTTCCATTACCTTCCCAAATCCTATAAAACGGCCCCACCCCTATCTCCCTTCGCTGACTCTCTTTTCGGACTCAGCCCACCTGCACCCAGGTGAAATAAACAGCCATGTTGCTCACACAAAGCCTGTTTGGTGGTCTCTTCACACGGACACGCATGAAATTTGGTGCCGTGACTCAGATCGGGGGACCTCCCTTGGGAGATCAATCCCCTGTACTCCTGTTCTTTGCTCCATGAGAAAGATCCACCTATCACCTCAAGTCCTCAGACCAACCAGCACAAGGAACATCTCACCAATTTTAAATCAGGTAAGCGGCCTCTTCTTACTCTCTTCTCCAACCTCTCTCACTGTCCCTCAACCACTTTCTCCTTTCCACTCTTCAATCTCTCCCTTCTCTTAATTTCAATTCCTTTCATTTTCTGGGAGAGACAAAGGAGACACGTTTTATCCATGGACCCAAAACTCTGGCGCCAGTCACGGACTGGGAAGGCAGCCTTCCCTTGGTGTTTAATCATTGCAGGGACGCCTCTCTGATTATACATCCATGTTTCAAGGGTGTCAGACCACACAGGGATGCCTGCCTTTGTCCTTCACCCTTAGCGGCAAGTCCCGCTTTTCTGGGGAAGGGGCAAGTACCTCAACCCCTTCTCTCCTTGTCTCTACCCCTTCTCTGCTTTTCTGGGAGAGGGGCAAGTACCCCTCAACCCCTTCTCCTTCACCCTTAGCGGCAAGTCCCGCTTTTCTAGGGGGCAAGAACCCCCAATCCCTTATTTCCACACCCCAACCTCTTATCTCTGTGCCCCAATTCCTTATTTCCATGCCCCAACCCTTTCTCTGCTTTTCTGGAGGGCAAGAAACCTCTACCCCTTCTCCGTGTCTCTACTCTTTTCTCTGGGCTTGCCTCCTTCGCTATGGGCAAGCTTCCACCTTCCATTCTTCCTTCTTCTCCCTTAGGCTATATGCTTTTTTTTTTTTTTTTTTTTTTTTTTTGAGACAGAGTCTCACTCCTTCGCCCAGGCTGGAGTGCAGTGGCGTGATCTCGGCTCACTGCAAGCTCCGCCTCCCAGGTTCATGCCATTCTCCTGCCTCAGCCTCCCGAGTAGCTGGGACTACAGGCCCCCCCCACCACGCCCGGCTAATTTTTTGTATTTTTAGTAGAAACGGGGTTTCACCTTCTTAGGCAGGATGGTCTTGATTTCATGACCTGGTGATCCACCCGCCTCGGCTTCCCAAAGTGCTGGGATTACAGGCGTGAGCCACCATGCCCGGCCTAGCCTATATTCTTAAGAACTTAAAACTTCTTCAACTCTCACCTGACCTAAAATCTAAGCATCTTATTTTCTTCTGCAATGCCGCTTGACCCCAATACAAACTCGACAGTAGTTCCAAATAGCCAGAAAATGGCACTTTGAATTTTTCCATCCTGCAAGATCTAAATAATTCTTGTAGTAAAATGGGCAAATGGTGAGGTGCCTGACATCCAGGCATTCTTTTACACATCAGTCCCTTCCTAGTCTCTGTGCCCAGTGCAACTCGTCCCAAATCTTCCTTCTTTCCCTCCCTCCTGTCCCCTCAGTCCCAACCCCAAGCGTCGCTGAGTCTTTCTAATCTTCCTTTACTACAGACCCATCTGACCTCTCCCCTCCTTGCCAGGCCAAGCTAGGTCCCAATTCTTCCTCGGCCTCCGCTCCTCCACCCTGTAATCTTTTTATCACCTCCCCTCCTCACACCTGGTCCAGCTTACAGTTTCGTTGTGTGACTAGCCCTCCCCCACCTGCCCAGCAATTTACTCTTAAAAAGGTGGCTGGAGCCAAAGGCATAGTCAAGGTTAATGCTGCTTTTTCTTTATCCCAAATCAGAAGCGTTTAGGCTCTTTTTCATCAAATATAAAAACCCAGCCCAGTTCATGGCTCGTTCGGCAGCAACCCTGAGACGCTTTACAGCCCTAGACCCTAAAAGGTCAAAAGGCCATCTTATTCTCAATATACATTTTATTACCCAATCTGCTCCCGACATTAAATAAAACTCCAAAAATTAGAATCTGGCCCTCAAACCCCACAAGAGGACTTAATTAACCTCACCTTCAAGGTGTACAATAATAATAAAAAAAAAAAAGTTGCAATTCCTTGCCTCCTCTGTGAGACAAACCCCAGCCACATCTCCAGCACACAAGAACTTCCAAACGCCTGAACCGCAGGAGCCAGGCATTCCTCCAGAACCTCCTCCCCCAGGAGCTTGCTACACATGCCGGAAATCTGGCCACTGGGCCAAGGAATGCCCGCAGCCCGGGATTCCTCCTAAGCCGTGTCCCATCTGTGTGGGACCCCACTGAAAATTGGACTGTTCAACTCACCTGGCAGCCACTCCCAGAGCCCCTGGAACTCTGGCCCAAGGCTCTCTGACTGACTCCTTCTTGGCTTAGCAGCTGAAGACTGATGCTGCCTGATTGCCTCGGAAGCCCCGTAGACCATCACGGACGCCGAGCTTCAGGTAACTCTCACAGTGGAAGGTAAGCCTGTCCCCTTCTTAATCAATATGGAGGCTACCCACTCCACATTACCTTCTTTTCAAGGGCCTGTTTCCCTTGCCTCCATAACTGTTGTGGGTATTGATAGCCAGGCTTCTAAACCTCTTAAAACTCCCCAACTCTGGTGCCAATTTAGACAATACTCTTTTAAGCACTCCTTTTTAGTTATCCCCACCTGCCCAGTTCCCTTATTAGGCTGAGACACTTTAACTAAATTATCTGCTTCCCTGACTATTCCTGGACTACAGCTATATCTTGTTGCCACCCTTCTTCCCAATCCAAAGCCTCCTTTGCATCCTCCTCTTGTATCCCCCACCTTAACCCACAAGTATAAGATACCTCTACTCCCTCCTTGGCGACCCTTACCATCTCATTAAAACCTAATCACCTTTACCCCACTCAACACCAATATCCCATCCCACAGTGCGCTTTAAAAGGATTAAAGCCTGTTATCACTCGCCTGCTACTACATGGCCTTTTAAAGCTTATAAACTCTCCTTACAATTCCCCCATTTTACTGCCCAAAAACCAGACAAGCCTTACAAGTTAGTTTGGGATCTGCGCCTTAGCAACCAAATTGTTTTGCCTATCCACCCTGTGGTGCCCAACCTGTACACTCTTTTGTCCTCAATACCTTCCTCCACAACTCACTATTCCGTGCTTGATCTTAAAGATGCTTTTTTCACTACTCCCCTGCACCCCTTGTCCCAGCCTCTTTTTGCTTTCACTTAGACTGACCCTGACACCCATTAGGCTCAGCAAATTACCTAGGCCGTACTGCCGCAAGGCTTCATAGACAGCCCCCATTACTTCAGTCAAGCCCAAATTTCATCCTCATCTGTTACCTATCTTGCATAATTCTCATAAAAACATACATGCTTTCCCTGCTGATCATGTCCGATTAATCTCCCAAACCTCAATCCCTTACAAAACAACAACTCCTTTCCTTCCTAGGCATAGTTAGCGCTGTCAGAATTCTTACACAACAGCCAGGACCGCACCCTGTAGCCTTTCTGTGCAAACAACTTGACCTTACTGTTTTAGCCTGGCCCTCATGTCTGCGTGCAGCGGCTGCCGCTGCTTTAATACTTTTAGAGGCCCTCAAAATTACAAACTATGCTCAACTCACTCTCTACAGTTCTCATAACTTCCAAAATCTATTTTCTTCCTCATATACTTTCTGACGCATATATTTTCTGCTCCCCGGCTCCTTCAGCTGTACTCACTCTTTAAGTCCCACAATTACCATTGTTCCTGGCCTGGACTTCAATCTGGCCTCCCACATTATTCCTGATACCACACCTGACCCCCATGACTGTATCTCTCTGATCCACCTGATATTCACCCCATTTCCCCACATTTCCTTCTTCCCTGTTTCTCACCCTGATCACACTTGATTTATTGATGGCAGTTCCACCAGGCCTAATCACCATACACCAGCAAAGGCAGGATATGCTATAGTACAAGCCACTAGCCTTCCTCTTAGAAACTTTCATTTCCTTTCCATCATAGAAATCTATCCTCAAGGAAATAACTTCTCAGTGTTCCATCTGCTATTCTATCTGCTATTCTACTACTCCTCAAGGATTATTCAGGCCCCCTCCCTTCCCTACACATCAAGCTCGAGGATTTGCCCCAGCCCAGGACTGACAAATTAGCTTTACTCAACATGCCCTGAGTCACAAAAACTAAAATACCTCTTAGTCTAAGTAGACACTTTCACTAGATAGGTAGAGGCCTTTCCTACAGGGTCTGAGAAGGCCACTGCAGTCATTTCTTCCCTTCTGTCAGACATAATTCCTCAGTTTAGCCTTCCCACCTCTATACAGTCTGATAACAGACCGGCCTTTATTAGTCAAATCAGCCAAGCATTTTTTCAGGCTCTTAGTATTCAGTGACAGACAAATGGTCTATTAGAAACACACCTCACCAAGCTCAGCCACCAACTTAAAAAGGACTGGACAATACTTTTACCACTTTTGCTTCTCAGAATTTAGGCCTGTCCTCAGAATACTATAAGGTACAGCCCATTTGAGCTCCTTTTTATTAGGCCCCAGTCTCATTCCAGACACCAGACCAACTTGGACTGTGCCCCCAAAAAACTTGTCATCCCTACTATCTTCTGTCTAGTCATACTCCCATTCACCGTTCTCAACTACTCATACATGCCCTGCTCTTGTTTACACTGCCAGTTTACACTGTTTCTCCAAGCCATCACAGCCATCTCCTGGTGCTATCCCCAAACTGCCACTCTTAACTCTTGAAGTAAATAAATAATCTTTGCTGGCAGGACTATGCTGAATCTCCTTAGGCGCTCTCTAATCAGATGTCCTAGGTCCTCCCAATTCTTATACCTTTTATACCTGTTTTTCTCCTTCTCTTATTCCATTTAGTTTTTCAATTCATACAAAACCGTATCCAGGCCATCACCAATCATTCTATACGACAAATGTTTCTTCTAACATCCCCACAACATCACCCCTTACCACAAGATCTTCCTTCAGCTTAATCTCTCCCACTCTAGGTTCCCACACCACCCCTAATCCCGCTTGAAGCAGCCCGGAGAAACATCGCCCATTCTCTCTCCATACCACCCCCAAAAATTTTCGCCGCCCCAACACTTCAACACTATTTTTATTTTTCTTATTAATATAAGAAGGGAGGAATGTCAGGCCTCTGAGCCCAAGCCAAGCCATTGCATCCCCTGTGACTTGCACGTATACGACCAGATGGCCTGAAGTAACTCAAGAATCACAAAAGAAGTGAAAAGGCCCTGCCCTGCCTTAACTGATGACATTCCACCATTTTGATTTGTTCCCGCCCCACCTTAACTGAGTGATTAACCCTGTGAATTTCCTTCTCCTGGCTCAGAAGCTCCCCCACTGAGCACCTTGTGACCCCCGCCCCTGCCTACCAGAGAACAACTCCCTTTGACTGTAATTTTCCATTACCTTCCCAAATCCTATAAAACGGCCCCACCCCTATCTCCCTTCGCTGACTCTCTTTTCGGACTCAGCCCACCTGCACCCAGGTGAAATAAACAGCCATGTTGCTCACACAAAGCCTGTTTGGTGGTCTCTTCACACGGACGCGCATGAAAATCAGAGCAGGAGGCAGGGATGGGGAGGAGCTACACACATTTAAACAACCAGATCTCACCACAACTCACCCACTATTATGAGAACAGAACGAAGGGAAAATTTACCCATTGATTCAATCACCACCCACCAGGCCCAACCTCCAACACTGAAAATTACAATTTGACATGAGATTTGGGTGGGGACACAGACCCAAACCATATCACCTGCAGTGTCGAGCTGACCTGAATTTGAATTCCAGTTCCACCACTACCTAACTGTGAATATGGCCATTTTACAGATTATTTCATCTGTAAATGGAGGGTAAACCATGTTGGTTTGTGTAAGAATTAGGAATTGTGCTTAGCACAGGGCATAGCAGCCATTAGGCGGTTCTATATTATAATTATTACTAATATTTAGCCAGTTAATTAACAAATATTAGGTGTTTACTCCTTGCCAGAGTCTGGTGAAGGCCCTAAGAATAAAATAATAAAGAAGAACAGACACAGCTATTTTCCTTGGAAGCTAGTAGGCATACAGACAGATATTCATCAAATAATTATTACTCAGATAATCACACAAATAATACACAGTATATCTATAATATGTGATATAAAATGTAGAGACCACAAAGGTATGAATGTGGATGACGGGGAGTGTGTTCTAAACTGGGAGGAGGGAGGCAAGTGTCACAGATTTCCTGAGAAGGTGCCATTTAAACTAATGCCCAAAGGATAAATAGACATTGCATAGGCACGGGGAAAGCAAATCAAAAAGTTTTCCAAATAATGGCAACAGTTTGTGCAAAAGTCCTATGGCAAATGGCAACATCAAGGAACTTAAAATTATCAGTGGGTACTGGGCTCAGAAATCAAAAGGGAGTAGAGCTTCAGATTTGGAGAGGAAGAAAAGTGACAGAAATACAAAAGTCATGCTTTTCTCTGTTGTTGTTTTTGGTAGCAGTGGTAGTAGTGTAGTATTCCATTCCAAATTTCTGTTCCCACTTTAAGGTATTTTATCATGATTAGTGTCCAGCCACATATACCATGAAGACACACTGAGGGCCACTAGGCTGCCCTGGTCACAACCTAAGATCGTCCTGTCCATGGCTCTGTGGGAGGCTCCGTTTGGATGTAGAGCAAAGGAGTGGCCCCAATGTGAGTGGGGTGTATAGCCATGAGGACATACGCTTTTCTCATTTCGACTCTCTTGTGGTTTTGAATAGCGTACTTGGTGGTTGAATTAACAAAGCACTTTGCTACTCTCTGGCTATGGCCATGTTCTGGAAAACTCTCGATCAGGTAGCAAAATGAATTCAACCCTTACTGTTTTCCATACAAAGTTCTGAAGGCTTTATGTATTTTGCCACTGATTCTCCCAGCATTCACAGTGACTGGTTCAGGCTGGCCTGTGTTTTTCCTAGATCATCTTTATTGCCAGTGTCCGCAGTTGCTGGAAGACTTTCCAGGATCCTGCATGCATATGGCTTTTGATGGAAAAATGTCTCCCTTGGCATCTCCTTGTAGGAGTCACATATATCAAAACCCAGCTCCCAGACCACCCTTCCAGCCAAACATTCATAAACGTCCAGGAGGGAAAGAAGTTATGCAGGAAGACTATATCTCTTAATAAAATCTTGAGAGAGTTTCCATTTCATTTCTAATAAATCTTCTGTAAGTGAGTGTTGTACAATACTTTCTTAAGAGGCAAAATTGCCTCCAAATCTTTTCCTGGATCAGGACTACAGAATCATTTGTACCCGTCTAACACATCATAATCTATCTTTGGCTTGACAGTAGTAGACACTATTTTTTATTTCATATAGTATATTATTATTCAAGCTCTTTTTTAATAAGTAGGTTTTCACTGAATACACCTTCTTCTTAATAAAAAAGTCTAATAAAATTTAGCATAAATGTCATTATTTCCCCTTTTATTAAAACTTGTTTTAGGAGCTCTGCTCTATATTTTTGGGCTCTAAAAAGGGGCAGAAATTTGAGAGAGTTGGTATAGCACTGTGGGTTAGAATGCAAACTCAGGATTAAATAGACCTGGGTTCCAGTCCAAACCTTTCTGTGTAACCTAGAGTGAGTAACTTTACCTCTCTGAACATGCTTTTGTTTCCTCATCTATAGAAAAGGAATAATTAGAGACAATTTTAAGGATTTCAAAGGAAACTGAACCTAAAAGTTTAATGCAGTGCCTGACACATCATCTACACTCATTAAATTTCATTTTATTATTTCTTTATCCCATCTAATCTAATAATAGCCTCAGGTCCTTTTATCTAATTATAGTAATAGCTGCCATTTTTTGATCACATACTATATGCTGTGAATTGCCAAGTGCTTTATGTGAATTATCTCATTAAATATTTTCAATAACTCTGTAAAATAGGTGTTATTATCATTACCATTTTACAGATGAGGAGATTGAGAGGCAGGCACATTAAGTCCCTTATGCAGGATTACATGGCTGTGAGCAGTAGAATTGTAGTATCCTCTAATGCCTGCTCTGAGTTGTGGAAAATCAGGGCTCCAGACTACCCAAAATTCCTTTGTTAAGGATGGAGCCGATAGGATCTCTTTATGATGCTCTGTGGTCCTTCTCAAGGACATGCAGCACACCTCAGACTTTGGAAGGAGGGCTTAGCCACTAGACTGGGGCTGTCCTGGGAGGGTCATTTTATGATCCAGTGAAATAGTGGAACGTGCCTGGAATTCTGACTGCGTCAGATCTGCACTCAAATAGGCTGAAGAGGTGAATGACCTTGTTCAATTATTTTAAATGTTCTGACAGCCAGTTTCCTTATTTGTAAAATGGAGAAAGGAATGCTAACTAGCTCACAGAGACCTTCTGGGGAAGCTGTACTGCATCGTAGTGGTTAGGCACACAGGTTCTAGAATCTGACTGCCTGAGGTTTATCCACTTCACTATGTAACTGACCATGAGAAAGTTATTTGATCTTTTAGCCTCAGTTCCTTCAGCTTTATTGTGACTCTTACCAGCAGTAGAGAACTGGTGGCATTGTTATAATAACATCAACAGAATAAATATGACTGAAATGAGGGTCAAGAACATATTTTCACTATTTTTCCTATGTGAGGAATTCTTCATTATGCCCCAGTTGTATGTTACCATTTTTAAGGAATTTGATATAAGTGGAGAAAGTCTATCATTAGTTACACTGGTCCTAAACAACAATTATTAAGTGATCCAAGGCTGCCAGCATCACACTTGGCAACATCAGTTACAATATAGGAGTGCCAGGGGGCATAGATGTACTTGAGCTGGCTTTTGATCTCATGAGTTTCTACACAGCCCCCCAAGTGAAATGATTTAGAATCAACCGGTAATACTTTCAGAGAAACAAAAGCCTTGAGTTTATTCTCTACTCAATCAGAAGTCTGCAAACTCTTTCTGTAAAGAATCTGATATGAGTTAGGTTCCCATTTTAGAAATGCTTGGTATTGGAAGTGTTTTAGATTTCAGATTTTTTTTCAGATTTTGGAACGTTTGCATTATCCTTACTCATTCAGCATCCCTAATCCAAAATTCTCCAATGAGCGTTTCATTTGAGTGTCATGTTGGTGCTCAAGAAGTTTGATTTCAGAGCATTTTGGATTTTGGATTTTCAAATTAGGGATACTCAACCTGTAGTCCTATATTTCAGGCTTCATGGAATAAGAGTTAATGTCTTCAACTCTTTCAACAACTGTTCTCACTGAAGGACAAACGGTCTTTCTTACATTTTACATTAGAAATGTAAAAAGCATTCTTAGCTAATATAGCCTAACGGAAACAGGAAGCAGGCTGGATTTGGTCCGGCGGTTATGGTTTGTCAGCTCCTGTCCCAGAGTATGGTGGTTAAGAGCGTGGATTCTGGAGCTGCACCATGTGAGTCTGTATTCTTGATTTGTCACTTTGTAGCTGGATGACCTAGGGGAAGTTGTTTAAACTTTCCATCTTCATTTCCTCATGTAAAGCATGTAAAGATGTCATGGGAGTGCTGGGGGTTAAATGAGTAAACACATGTCAAGCATTCAAAATGGAGTTTTCCATGCAATAAGTGCTAAGTGTTTGTCTTTATTATTATTATGTTCCAATTTTTCCTGTTTCTCCCAGTTTTGGAAAATACCTGTAGCATCAGCCCTTTTTTACATCATAGTGTTCTATTTCTCTATAGTCCTTCCAACAGATTTTCTCTATAAGTGCTTTCATGAGTCTCTTGCATCCAAATCATCTAGCGAACTTGTTAAAATGCAAATTCCTGGACTCCTCCCAAGATTTGCTGTATCCTGACTTCTAGAGGTGGGCCCTGAGAATGAGCATTTAATATACTTTACTGGTGGTTGCTCTGCACATGAATTTTAGGGTCCACTGCCCCTAGAGTTCCACATATCCTCCTTCTTATAAAGATTCCCGGCTGGAAGATAGATGAAAAGGAGGGGTACGAATCACTGAGTTAACCCTAAGTCTGATCTACCAGCAACCCTGCCTGAGTGTCAAAGCCCAGCAGTTAAAATACATGCTTCTAAATTTCCTCCAGTACCAGGAGGGGAAGGAAGAAGTACTGATTATTGGGAAACCAAGCACCACCCCTATCCAGACTGTGTGGTTGGACACAGGGGAGCTAAATGAACTCAGTTAAACCTTGTGGATTTGGAAATGAGCACGGAAAGACTGATCTTATAGTGGCCCAGGCCCCCTTCCAGAGCAGTAGGGCTTGTGATACACAAGAACACCTCTGGACTTCCTCTGAACTTCACTATGAAAAGCGAGAACCACAGTATGCAGCTGCTGGGTACAAAACTTTCAGGGTTTTGCATTTCCTAAGTGCAACTATTGTCATTTGCTTTTCGATTTATGCAATACTTAATATTTGGGGACATGTTTTTTAAGGTAAAAACTTCAATGAGTACCAATTTTGAAAGGTAAAATTTTAAAGTACTTTTCTATCCTCAGTCCCTCTCACCAAAAGTAACCATAATTATTATTTTCTTCTCTGTCCTTCTGGAAATGTCTCAAGCATATGCAAAAAAACTTATGGGATGTAGTTGCTAGAAATACATATTTTTTGCACTAATATGATCATACAATATTTATTCTAAGGCGACTAGTTCCTTTGACTTAAACTGTGTCCTGGACCAAATGATCACTTTTGATTCCAAGTACCTACTTCTATCACATTTATCCTTTCCGAATGCCCACCTCCTTCTTCCTTCCATTCTGTAATGTCATTCTTTATGTTACCTAGAAATTTATAATGGATGTTTTATTATCATCATCAAAATAAGGATGAACGCCTGTAGATAGAAGTATTATTCTTAACAGACCACAGATGCATAGACAAAGCTCTCCCCCCACTTATAAATGAGTCTGATGTTTCCTTGGGATCTGTCAGGGAAACATTATTTTCCCCTTGGTCTAGGGACAGCTTCTAGCATAGCTGATGTAGCTACCAAACAAAGAAGGGACACTGTGGCTTCCTAAAGATATCCATCCCCGGGCACCATGCTACCTGGGGATCTCCTAGCTCACAATTGGAAGTTCCTATTGAAGTTTGAAAAGCTGTTAGGCAGGATAGCCAAGCATTGGTTTGCTCACAAAATCTACTCTGGCCTAGATGCCACTGTTCATGTTGGGAGTATCAGGGGAAACATCTCCAGTGGGCAGTAGTAGGACTTACAGAGTGCTGAAAACAGGTAAGTGGTGTCTAGGTGTGTAAGGAAAGAGAAGAGGTAGACTGTTTACCATAGTCCAGTAGCCTGCCACAGTTTGTCAAAAGAATTTGAGAGGCTGAGCGTGGTGGCTTATGCCTGTAATCCCAGCACTTTGGGAGGCCGAGGTGGGCAGATCACCTGAGGTCAGGAATTCGAGACCAGCCTGGCCAACATGGCAAAGCCTTATCTCTACTAAAAGTACAAAAATTAGCCAGGTGTGGTGGCATGCGCCTGTAATCCCAGCTACTCAGGAGACTGAGGCAGGAGAATCGCTTGAACCAGGGAGGGGGAGGTTGCAGTGAGCTGAGATTGTGCCACTGGACTCCAGCCTGGGCGACAAGAGTGAGACTCCACCTCAAAAAAAAAAAAAAAATTGACAGTAGGCAAGTGAAATGAAGCCTCATGAACACTTAATAAAAAGGGAACCAGCATGAGGTCATCGAGATGACGCCATCCCTCAGTACCCTCAATAACCACATTTCCTTTCTTGGTGCAGTTGCCAGACTAGAAAACCAGGATAGTACCATAAACATAGAGGATCAGAAATTCAGAAACAGGTTTTACAAAAGTCTCTTACGAGTGCAGGATGGTATTTTATTTGGTTGAGCTCACTCTTAGAGGATGCCAGCAAATATGTGAATGTCTGACTGGCCATGGATCACTGGCAGTGCACCTAAAGATTCACTTTGATACTTGCAGAACCTTATAGATGGCATACCTTCAGGGACAGGATGGCTGAGAATTCTAGTTCTGGAGAAATGCAAAAGTCCCAAGTAGCCTGGGACAATGGGCTACTCATTACGAGACCTGTGCATTGGAGCTGATATGGACGAGCAAAAACAAGCAAGGTTCATTATCAATTAGGGGAAGACATGAAAGGTGGTGAGAGACCTAGGAAAAAAGAAAGAAGTGATTCCTTTTGTGCTGGGCAGGTAGTGTGGCAGAGACCATTTCCATCAGAGTCTTTGATCTCCTAGGGATATCAGTTTGTGATGAGCTTCATGGGGAAGAAAGGAAAAACTCTAATACTGTAGAAGTAACCCTTCAGTGTTTTTTAGGAATAGAGTCTGCCCAAGAGCAAGGAGCAAATAATGAGAGTCCTCATGAATTTTCAAAGTCCTTTTTAAAGAGTAGTTCAGACAACAGGACCCTGAAGGCCAAGTGAGACCTTGGTAGCCTCTGGACTCTTGACGTTTTTCCTCTCTTGAAATAATCATCCCTGAGTGAATAAGAATCGGTGACAGAGGCATTCATTCAACCCACCGTTGCCAAATATCTGTCTACCCTGCACCTAGCCTGTAACTAGTGCTGGGCAAATAGAAATGCGTAAGAAACACCGCTCCTCAGGCCGGGCACGGTATCTCATGCCTGTAATCCCGGCACTTTGGCAGGCCGAGGCGGGCAGGTCACAAGGTCAAAAGATCGAGACCATTCTGGTTAACATGGTGAAACAGCATCTCTACTAAAAATACAAAAAATTAGCTGGGCATGGTGGCACGTGCCTGTAGTCCCAGCTACTCGGGAGGCTGAAGCAAGAGAATCACTTGAACCTGGAGGCAGATGTTGCAGTGAGTTGAGATCGCGCCACCGCTCTCCAGCCTGGGCAACAGAGTGAGACTGCGTCTCAAAAAAAAAAAAAAAAAAAAAAAAAAGTAAAAAGAAAAAAGAAACGCCGCTTCTCTTTAAGGATCTCACAGCCAAGACAATGTTTCCCAAGCAATGGTGCCCAGATTACCTAATCAGAATCACCTAGATGCTGTGTCAAAAATGAAGATTTCTGGAACACAGCCTGTATTTGCTAAATCTACATGTTAACGATTCCCTCAGTTATGGATGTGAACAGAAAACTGCTCTGAAGGAGGCAGATAGGAATCTATCTCTGAGTATGAGAGTGAGTACATGTATGGGGTGATGGGTGAAGGCATGCGTGTATATATTGTAAGGTGGTGAGGACATGCTAAGAGTATACGCATGAGCATGTATGAATGCCTGTGCTGAGGGAAAGTGCATGCTGCATTAAGAAGCTATACAAAGTGTTCAGTTACTTAATCAGAAGAGAACAAAGGCCCATAGACCAAGTTTCTGAAACTTTAAAAGGCTCATACCCCATCCAGAGTAAGCTTAAGGATCAGAGGTGAGAAACTACCATCCTCATAGTTTAGTCTGCAGTCCATGGGATACAGAAAAAGCAAACATTTTTGAGACTGTCTATGTCTAATAGCAACAGCAGTTTTTGAAGTCACACAGATCTGGACTTGCATCCGGACTGTGTCACTTACCACTTGTGTGATCTTGATCAAGAAGCTCATACACTGAACCCTAATGCCCCTGTCTGAAGAATAGGGGTGGCAGTGCCAATCCTTCAGGGTATTGTGATCCTAACATTGCTATGTGTGATGCAGCCCCAACAACCAGACACATAAGATGTGGGGGAGTGGAAAGTGGTGTGGCTGGAGGTGTGAAATCCAGGAGGTGAGAGGATTACCCTCTAATAAATACAACTCTTGGGGTCCTGGGAACAACCTCATGAATTTACAGTGAAGACAGATACATCTTTCCTCTTTCCTCTGATTTTTCCTTGATCCTTACAAGAGGTGCTGAACTTCCTGTTAGCAGACATGATCAAGCAGAAACTGAACCATGGAGATGTGTCCCCCATCCACTAGCAGGACTTTGACTTTGGGTGCCTGTCTTCTCTAGCACCAGAATCCTGGGATTCTGAGTCCCTGGGTTTCTCCAGCTTCCCAGTGTCTTATGTATAGGCTGAGTCGTGATTACATGTTTGGCTCCCACGGAGAGATCTTGCTCCCACCCGCTTGCACCACTAAGACTAGCTTTTTGGAGTCGATCAGAGGTTGCCAGGAGAAGGTCATACATTCAAGAATAGCGTTTCACCCAGCTTCCCTCCCCAGTGAATGTGCCACACCAGGTTGGAAGAGACATGGTCTCACTGCAGGATCTTTCCCAAATGCACCCCAGAACACGATGGGGCAGCACTCAGCTCAAGTTACCATGTTCCAACGACTTCCTACCTACCAGGCTGCCATATGTTCAGGATGGTTCTATTGCCAGATGTATGTCAAAGTTTTCCTTTTTAAAATGTAATTTCCACCAGAATACACTGGCATCCTACAATGCTGCTTCTTGGCTGCAGAAGCAGTTTTTCTGCCATTTGGGCCTAAAATAGAAACCACACGCAACCTTGACAGTAATCACGACCAAGGAGAGAGAACGCACATCTATTTATGTGGCACTGAAGGTGAGTTCTTCCTTTGTGCTACTGCACTGGGGACCAGATCAACAGAGCTAGGAATATCAGCTCAAACTGATACAATCACAAATATACAAGATATAATAAACTACTGGATATTACAGGTAAAGTTTATTTTTGAGTTTTAAAGAATTTGAGATATTCATAAATTAGGGTTTTGTGTAGGGGTGACATAGTGTATTCATTCTCTTATTCTTTATTCCTCACTGTTCATGTCTAGTGGACGGTGAGGTCTCGGCATCTCATGACTTGATGGATATGACAGTATCCAGGCATGTGTTCATGTGAATGAATGTGCTGTGTAAATAGTGGAAGAACTCTCAAGAATTTTATTCAGCAAAATCATATTTATTCCAAAATATGTTTTTGGCATCCAGAAACCACTTCTGAGAATGGAAATCACATTCATGTTTTAAAATTGTACTCACTTTCGGCTGGGTGCACTGGCTCACACCTGTAATCCCAGCACTTGGGAGGCCGACGCGGGTGGATCACTTGAGGTCAGGAGTTTGACTCCCGGCCAATATGGTGAAATCTGGGCCAACATGGTGAAACCCTGTCTCTACTAAAAATACCCAAATTAGCCAGACATGGTGGTGTGTGTCTGTAATCCCAGCTATTTGGGAGGCTGAGATGGGACAACTGCTTGAACCCAGGAGGCAGAGGTGGCAGTGAGCCAAGATCACACCACTGCACCCCAGTCTGGGCAACCGAGCGAGACTCTGTCAAAAAAAAAAAAAATACTCACTTTCATTTGAAGTGAATAATCAGCATTTTTGTTTTCCTTTTCAAATCCCAGTAGTTAGGATGGTAGCCTTGATGGACTTAATAGGTAACAGTCAACACATCCCTGAGAACAAGGTGTCCATCTGTTCCAGAATACAAATATCCACCTTCACCTCACTGCTTCTCAAACCTGGTCTCTTCAAGGTGGTCCTTTCTTTCTTTTCTGCTACCAGGGCAAGGCTGTTGCATTTCAGGGTTGTTTCTTTATTACCTGGCTTATTTGTTCAAATGGGGTTGGATGGAAAAACATGCTGCTTGCTTAAATCTGCAAGAAAAAAATACTACAGGGCTCTCTGGGGTAGCCACTGGAAAATTCACCACTCTGAGACTTTTATTGATGACAAACTCGAGTATGTTTAAGAAAGCACACACACCTAGCAACGATTTGGACATGAAGATAATGTCAGCCCCATGCACGGGTACACTGTCCCTGCCGAGAATTTCACTGGAGACTCATTTGGGGGCTCTAGGGCAGGGTCTGGCTGCCAGCTGGTGTTGAGATGGAGTTTTCCCCCCAGAGTAATCAATTATCATTTCCCAAGACGAGCTCATGGAATGCTGCCAGCACAGTGGGTTGAATAGTCTGGGAGCTGGAATTCTTTCCCAGATGTAGGGGTCATCCCATGTATGTGTGGTAACGATGAACCAGAAAGGCACAGAGAAAACATAGTGACTATTGAAAGTAGGTCTCAAGTTAAAAAAAATGTTATAAAACAGGTGACAGCAATACTACACATAAATATTTGTCAGCTGGGTGATGCAGAAGTAATCAGACAGATTTCTAGGGACCAGTAGAAGAAATGGATCTTAAGTATAATCTGTTCTAATTCCACAATTAATAGACAACAGCTTTGATGGAGAAACTTTTCTGTGCAAAACAATATCCAACAGCAGACAGATATAGCAGTAGTAATCCAAACTCTTTCCTCACGGAGCTTGAAGGACTTGATGAACATTCTAAGGAAATACAGCATATTAACATATAATAATAAAATGAGGCAAGATATGAGTGCTTACAATGGGTCAGGTACACTGTTAGACTTTAGACACACAATTTCCCTTAAGTATTTCAAAAAAGTACAAGGTATACACTATTTTAATTCCCACTCTATAGATAAATAAACCAAGTTTCAGAGCAGTGCTGGAACTAGATGAAACAAGTAAGACACTTGACTTGGGTGCAAAATTAAAGGAGACACCAAAACCTCAGTAATCAAGATTTTTAAATATCAGAATGAAAAAGTATTACAATAAAATATCAAAATTTTAAATGAAGACACAATCAGTATTGCTGATTTTTTTTTTCCTTTTGTCTCAGGCTCCAGTCTAGCTTGGTGAGGTGCTGGTTCAGAGCATTGATGAGAAGACTTCCCAAAGCTCATCCATCAGTGTGTGGTACACTAATGCCTAAGAGATTTGATTTTATGGCTTGAACTTTCAATCTGTGCACTCCAACCGAGGAGGACAAGGGTCAAGCCTTGCTGATGCAGGTTCTGGGAAGGAGGTGTCAGGGGAAGCCTCTCTTACCCAGATTTGCAAGTGGATTGAAAAAAGAGCAGATGTGCAAAGTCAGGAGAATAGTGGTGGTGGGCCAAGTCCCATACCCTGGTGAGAAGGATCCAGCTGGGCTTGGGAGAAGCTGATTGTGAAATACTGACAGCGAAAGGCTATCGTGGGGAGCAAGAGAACAGCAGCTGAGTAGGCCAGTGGGAGTCAGGACTGGATACATTCCTGACTTAGAAAAGGGCTTTGATAAACTCCAAGAAAAATGATGTGCAGATGAGCACGCCACTCTACAAAATGGCCCAAAGATGGAGTAGAGAGGCATCTCAAGCCACAGAGCCTTGGCTCAAAATCACTCCAGATTGGCAGTCTGTAAAACCAGGATTTGGAACTTAAGAACACACCATACTTTCCTGTCTCCAGGGAAAGGATGATTGCCTTATGCACTTACATAATTCTGCTCACACCCCTTCCCCCACAAATATTTGGCCCCTGGAATGGGACAGGGCGAGTTGATAGCTCCCTGGGGACAGGGTGGACTCTGGCTTATAGACACAGAAAGATTTATTTCTGCTGAACCTGTGACAGCTTGGTAAGAGTATTTCAATAATTTGAGCTGCTTACCTACTGTTCCTTTTGTTTTTAACAGGTTCAGTCATTCACTTTGCTCAATGGATTGGGCTTGTCTTTAGAAAGGGGAATGTTGTAGCTCAGAAGCCAGTGATGGGCTCAGTAAGGGGCAGCAGGTAGGGAGTGAGGGTAAAAGATAGAATTCCGATAGAGGAAATATGGAATTTCACTTACAAACTAATGGAATGCAAACGTTGTTGGAATTCCATACCAGAGAGCACCCCAGTGAATCCTTCCCAAATGTCCTGACCTTACGCCTGTTGTGGTAATAGTCAGGTTAATGTAAGAGATGTTTCCCCAGATACCCAGGTAATCTAGAAAACATATTCTAATTTCAAGGGGGATTCACCTCACAGGCCTGGAGATATGAGCCTCTAGTTTTCTTCTTTTCGCACTAGTCTATTGACCTCCACAAAATAAGTAACTCCAATGAGAATTATTCCCTTTCGTATTATCAGACTTCAGAGCCCTCAATCCCATATGAAGCACTGGAGGCCTGTCTCTTTCCAGCTCCACCTCCCACATGCAAAAGCTTAGGCAAGGGGCCAGCTAACCTGCTTGGCTATTGGCACCTTGAAATGGAAGTAAATCCCTACTCTTCTGATTTATTATTTCCTGTTCTTCGAAGAGGGGGGAAGGCAGCAAGTCTTGAAGTATTTAAGCAGTTAGTCACTGTACAAATCCATCTCCTGTCTCACCCCCAATTCAGGGGAATAATATTTTTTTCCCTGAGTTACATAAGGCATGATAGAAAGCATTTCGGAACCCCGTCTGCCTCAGGACCGATTTCTTGAGGTAAATCTCTAGGAAATCTTTCACAGTTTCTAAAATAAGTGCCCAGGCTTTGAAAATAGGTCCTACAGCATGAGCAAGCTCTATGTCACCCATGTGTTAACCTTAGCATCACTTCCTCTCTTTCTATCATCACTGTCTTCAGTTCCAATGCAGTTTCATCCAGATGACAGGTGCAGCCGTGTGCATTTTTACAAATGGAGCTATGTTTCAATCCTGGAGATTTTTGATATTAAGTTCCGTAAGTCAAAACTCAAAACAACATGGGAAAAAAGTTAAATTTAATGTAAACTGGACAATTTTACGATTAGCTAAAGTACTGAGCTCATTACAAACTGGAAATTCCCTAACAGACATTGTCTTCGCTGGACAAGGTAGCTAATAATGACATTAATTTCTTGGGGTTTTGTCTGTATTTGTGTTTGTGTGTGAGTGTATTTTATCACTAAATGGCTAAGAGTTGCACATCTGTAACTTAGTCCTGCCTATGGTTGTATAATGGAGGGAGATTTTTTTTGTAAGACTAAGGTGTTATTTCTTCTTGCTATAAATGGCTGATAGATCTTGGCTTTTCTCAGATGTTCTAGGTCAGGAACCATAGTCCATCAGCCTGCAATAGAAGAGACACCTGAAACTAGACTTGAATATCCTCCTCTCGGCTCCTTCCCTTCTCTCAAACCATTTGGTACTCACATCTGACTTTAAGTAAATGTATTTCCCATTAGCTCATCTCAGCTTAGCTTTGGTCTCTGAATCTCAGGACCCAAAGCTATGATTTCCAGCTAGTGGCTCATAGCTTTAACTTATTTTCTACCCTCAACCACTTAATATGACCTATTTAAATTGCCATCTTCGCTGTCTGCATGTGGCCTTTTCTTAGATCTGCTTCTTGCTTCTGGGAACACCAATTCCTATCACAAAAGATTCATTCACCCCCAATCTATGACCACTCAGTTGATAAGTACCCACATGTATTAAATAACATGAGAAAGTCTTAGAGTGGACCCTACTATATACATGCACACACACACACAGACTGATACTTCATCATGAATGGAACACATCTGGCCAGAGATTGACTGAGACATATTTGCCTTTGTAAATCTGGACATGCAGTTCCCAGGTTTGTGAATCAACATATTTTAATATCCTTCTAATAATACTGATCTAATAAGTATCCTAACACTCAATTCTAGGCATGTGGTCTGGGACCAATCAAATTCCAAAATTATTGAGCTCCTATTATTTTCATTTGAACTTCATTCAAGTTCAAGTCATCTAGAACCTCTCTGTCTTCTGCCCTGACCTTGAAATAAGTCTCCCAAGAGATGGTGGTCACCTACTACCTGGCCTTTAACCATGATAGACGGACAGCTTGGGATTCCAGATACTTCTGATTATTCATCTGCTAGTGGCCTTGGCTGCATTGCTGGATGGCCCAGACGCTGTGTATTAATTTGACTTTCTACTGCTATTCTTGGAATTTTTATCAGTGTGGCCCTAGCCCTGTTGAGAACCTCATTATCAAGAAGTGGCTTCTCCTGGGCAGCTGAAGGGATATTTATTAATACATGTTTTGAGCCCTGTAAGGAAGGGAGAAAAACAAAGAAGACTATATTGGCTATTATTTTCTAACCCTCCCTTCCTCCTCTTCCTTTCTTATTTCCTTTCCCAATTCTCTCCTTTTATTCAATAAACATAGCATGTTAACTACATAATTTGTAGGAACTTGCAAATATGATTAGAAAGAATTCCACCTCCACATAACTTTTGTTTGCTACACACACCCAAATGAACACACACACACCCACACACACACTTAGAATGAGAAAAGTTGTTAAAGGATATATAACATTAAACATCAAAACGAATGATACAAACAGAAAAAGTGGTGCTAATAGTTGAAAGAAAGAAAAGCAAAATAGCATCTAAATCGATTAAGAGAAAAAGTTAACAAACCTGCACATTGTGCACATTGTACTCTAGAACTTAAAGTATAATAATAAAAAATATATATATAAAAGTTAATAATATAAGTAATCATATCCATTAGTTATTGAGCATTTCTATATCTTCATAAGGCAAAGTGTCTGTCTAGAGCAATCACTGCTTAGGTACTTTCAGCTTACTAAATGATGGCTCCCTCCATACCCAATGATGTGTGTGCGTGTGTGTGTGTGTGTGTGTGTGTGTGTTTGTATGCATGCACAAATGCCTGTTGGGATTTCCTTTAGGATCTCTCTAAAACTCACATCTCTATGAGATAGGAATAATTCTTAATTTACCAATGAGAAAACCAAAGCTTACAGAGGTTAAATGACTTATATAACTAGTCAGTGGCAGAACTGAATCTGTCTACTCTGAGGCTAATGTTTCTTAACACAAGATTTCCACAAGAAGGTGAGGTTTAAGTATGACCTAAAAGGATGTGCATGACTTTATAGCAGAAGTTAGTGGCAGGGTAGAAGGCAGAAAAACCATAGGTTGGAATGTGAAATTGAGACAAAGCATGTACAGCAGGGTCAATGAGAAGCCAGAGAGAGGGGAAAGAAGGTAAAAGGAAACAATGATCAGTGAGACATAGAGAGTAAGCCAGAAGCCATATGTGGAAATTCATGAATACTGGAAAGAAGACTGTGAGCTTGAATCACAGGCAATAAGAGTCCCAGACAGTGTATGGTGGACAAGTAATCGAATGGCCTCAGTTTTAAGAAAATTAATTCACCCAGAAAATCCAGATGCATTGTGATGGAGACAGCACACACACACACATGAAAAATTTAGCAATTGAAGAATAACATTTATTCCAATGTGATCCAATCTCCACCACTCCAAACATTTAGAAACAAAGCACATGACCTTAATAACCTGCCGTGAAAAATCCTGCCTCACATGCATTTGTAGGAAAACCTCTTTTTCTTTCTTCAGTCATTTGTCATCAAATCAGTTTCTTACCTCCAATTTTAATTACTAATATATGTAATGCCACTCAAAAGAAAAAGAGAGACAGACAGATTTATCAAAGCAAAACAGCAGCTCCCTTCTGATCTCACATCATTTCTAAGGAATCAGGAGTCAATATGGGGTAAGGGACCCTGTACTAACAGAGTAAAACATGTTCAAAACTTCACCAACAACCTCTGAGAGAAGATGGAGTTTGGTCAGGAGCTGCTAATGGTTGAGATGGCTTAGCATGTATTACTTGATGGAGAGAGTACTGGAGAGCTTTCAATTAAGCTGCTGCAAAGCTCCCTTTCTGCTCAGGCTCTTTGACAGGTCATTGAATGGGGTTTTCAAGGACAAAGAATGAGCGGGCATGTCCCCATGGAAGCCAGTGCCCCTCTCAGAAGTGTTAATTCCAGTGATTTCTCCTGGAAAAGGAAATGGAGAAGTCAGGGATGGATAAGCCTGCTGACTAATCTATAAAACCAATGCCCCAGGACTGGCAGAAGTTGAAATCATTTACTTATAATTAGAGGTGCAACAGACTGTGGGACTTGAAATTTTACGATTCAACATTCTTGGTGAAAATGCTCAATAATAATTAAGAAAACAATCAAAATCTTGGGCAAGAAATATGTGAATTAATATCAGATATCCTCTTCTCAAGCAAGACCAGCATAGGTCTTCTGATAAGTCACCACTTTGAAAACTGAAGTTAAACATAATCAAAATCTTCCCTTCAGCACCCCACCATCACTAGGGCTGGGATTATGTAGGACAAGGGGATTTTAGGCTATGAGGGGACATAGAAAAGAAGGTCAGATTTCTCAAGACTTCCTGTCAGGGTTGACCTTTAATGAATATGCCCCCTGGGATTCTAGAGTCTGGAAAAGAATGTAATGACTTTATTTACAACAATAAGAATTAGAGACCAACAAGTCAATGCCATTAGGAAGCATTTTTGGATTTTTGGTCCAAAATTTTAATTGAAAACAAGAAAGTATGCTTATAATAAGATGGGAAAAATTACAATACGGATCTCATTATTTCAACTATAGATGCAGGTGAACAAGACTAGTATGGAATTTGCAAAGAAAAAGGAAAATAATTAATTTAGGTTTAAGACGTTACAAGGAAATGTTTTGTCCCTGGATCAGTGTCATTAAGTATTGCTGTTTTACTGACTTTACATTTTTTAAAGTGGATCAAAAACCATCAGTTGTATAAAATTGAATTATTATCAGTAGAATGGTTTTGAGAGAGCTGGGTGTGATCTTTAGCTAGTTCCCATAACAAAAATATGTTGCATAGAGTAAATTAACATGTGCAGAGGAATTAGTATAGTGTCTGGCACATAGTGGCCCATCTTGTAATTTTCATTGCCATTATTACTAGGTAATAATGTTCTAATGTTATTAGAACATGCACGTTGTGATTTGCCCAACTTTGCTACTGCTACATATGTTAAAAATATATGAAGGCATTTGCTGATTGCTGTGATGTCTGCTATTCTAGAGAGGTCCATCAGAGTCCTTCCACCTCTAAAGCAAGGGGACATTTGCATCCCTCATTTGATGTCTCCTGCAGGGGATTTTCCTATGTCAGAAAAGTCCTCAGTGAAAGGTCCAAATTCACCAGTAAATATCTTCCCAGCATTTCAAAATATTTCACTCTAAAGGTCAGATATTAAACAAAATTAAATATTTTGCTCTCTTCTACCCTCTCTAGAGGCCACTGAAGACTGCTGGCAACCAGGAGTCAGAGCACATTATCTGTTATTAGCACAGAGTTAGCTGTTGCTTGGGGCTGCGGGAGAGGAGGCTGAAGTCTATTCAATTATGTGTAAAGAAGCGCAATCCTGGATATTTCCAAGCCCTCCCATCATTTGGACACATGGTATTTGGGATGCTGTAAATGTAAATGTAATTCTGGTATCCTATGAAGAATCTGGGATGTAGGCTTCAAAATAGATGTATCATCAATCTTCCATTAATTCAACATAACTATGTTGATCATTACTGTATTTTACTGACCTTAAGACACAATTGTTGTGTGTGGTTGTTTCACATTTAAACACCTCTAAATGTAGATGTGCAAGGAATTCAGGCAGCAAATGGATATGCTTTTTATTGCCTGTGCATAACCATCAAAATTTTCAGAGTGAGCATCAGGGGCTTGAAGGAAAATCCCAGGGAAAAAAGTTGAGCCCTCTTGCAAAAAAACGATTCTTCACCAATACACTTGAAAGGCTATATAGGACAATATTGTTTGGGGACAAAACCCGGACAATGGAAACTCTGAGTCAAAGAATAATACAACAAGATTCAGTTTGAAGTGTTAAAATTTTAAGACACCTTAACCAATTTACTGTGTGTTATTATTTGCCTTTTTATATGTGTACAAGTATGTTACATGGCAAAACCTACATCTAAATAAGACTAAAAGGGCACTTTTAATAAATAAAAATAATTTAGTAAATAAAAGTTTTAGTTTAAAAACAAGAAAAACTGGTTTTAGAATATAGTTTAACCTATTATTCTCCTAAAGAATATAGTGTCTTCTCAGGCTTAAGGATAACACAAGTCAATGGTATGAAAAAGACAATGTATATATTACACTTGGCTAATTATCTAGTAGACATAAAACTAATCAATAAAGTGGTCTTCCTATAAATACTTCTACACCTGAACAAGGATGACTATGATTCGAAGGTCCAATGAGTCTTCTACCTATTTTGAAAGCAGCAACCTTCTCTCAAATGAATTTTGGTGCAACACAATTTGAAAATGCCACTAACAAAAATTCACTCAAAATACACTCACTCAGAAAAAAAGGTGTGAAGGGAGTGCATAAGAAAAATACCACATTTATTGAACATGTGCTAGATATTGTACTAGGCTTTTTGTGTGCATTAACTCATTCCATCCTGACAAGATATCTATGAAGCAGATATCAATATCCCTAAATTACAGTTTTAAAAAATGACCAGAAGATTTTTCTACTCGCTTCAAGTCACACAACTGGTGGAGTACAAATATGAGATTTGGATACCAAACACTATGTACCTTAATATATATTCTTGATACAGAGTATTGAATTATCCCTTAATCAATCTATGCCAAGAATCATCCCATACACAAACACACAAACTAAATTGCCAGCCTCATAAGCTAAGAGCAAGTAATAAAATGTTTATATAAGTCAAAAGAAATATTGAGCCAAGTAATCAGTTATTTCATCAGAGAATGCATTAAAACCTAAAATGATTGATGATGATGTAAAAGAAAGTGATCAGTGGACCTCGGGATCTTGACATTGTGTGATACATGAGCCAAACTTGTTATGGAAAGTCCTGAAATTGTTTAACCTGGTGTGAGTGAGGGGTGGGAGGTCATGCTTTTCCCATTGGTGACAAATTTTTCCATTTAACAGAGAAAAAAAGACTTCCGTATATGTTATATTCCATTCCCCAAAATGAGCTCAAGATTCTTGGGGAGGAAAACACATTTATAGTGCTGACTTAACCTCAGTGAGAATGCATTATTATTATAAGGTTCAGCACTTGACATAGGCTTTGTACAGAATGGCTCACATTTTAAATACCAGGCACAATTACTGCATCATGAGAAGCTGATCTAAACCACAAATTGGGGCATAATAGGCAGGAGAAAAAGGTTGAACAGACAAATCATTCAATAGGTGATTCTGTTTAAAAAGAAATATTTTTAAAATGCCCATCTTTGATGGCCACCAATGAGGAAACATTAAACTAGCAAAAAGAAAATGACTAATACACAACCAAGAGAAGTGTATAGTGAAGCTACATGTACATACTTTGTATAGAAGAGAATAAATCATACTCTTCATAAATATTTGCATTAGGGTCGAAACCTAAACTTTATAGTCCTAGGCTATCCCCAAGTCAATATACTACCTCTCCAGAATATTGAAGAATCTTCATTTACCAAAGAACATAGCCAGTAATTTACTGTGTATTAATTTACAATAGAAATAATAAACTTAGTATAATAAACTCAGTCTTAGTTCAGATTTGCATGAACTGAAAGAGAAGGTCAAATCTATGGGAGAGAAAAGTCAAGAAGGATATAGGAAGATATACATAATTGCAGTTAGCTGGGGAACAATTCAATAGGCATAGGGGAAAGATTTATGACACCAGGATATCATCCTATGGTTTCAGGCCTCAACAAACACATGCAGATTCCCTGGGAAAGAGTTAGAAAGAACCAGAGAGAGAAGCAGGAGGAGGTTAAGCAGGTCTGGCCCCAGAATCTCAGAGGGAAAGTGGAATGCTGACCAGAAAACATGTTTGGAAGCCCAATTGCAAGGTTTAGGTCAAAATAAGAGGTGTCATAGAAAGGGTTAGAGATGAGCCCACATATTGGCACCTGGGACAGAGGCAGCAAGACTCTCTCTGAATCCTTATGTGCCCTTAGCACAAAAAAGAGCACCTCGTTGGTCTGTAGTTGTAGTAGGGGTCTCAGCTGCTCCACATGAGAAACCTGTTGTTGGGCTGTTCTGAATTCAATTACCCCAGACATGGCCCCTTTTATTTCTGTACCTACCAGAATTTCACCTTCTGAATTTTTTATCCTCTGTTTATCTCTGTTGTGTTGAAGGAAGACCACACAATTCAAGAACACAGTGGGGGATTACCTACACCGTGCGCTTTCAAGGAGAAAACAGAATTTTTTACCTTAAAGTTCCTACCAATGAATATACTAGCATCTGGGATTTCCTACCTCTTTGGGTATTGTTACTTTCCAATGATCTTTTTATCTTTTATCTATCTATTGTTCTTCCTACTTTTCTTCCTATCATATCTATCTTAACTGAATAATGTCTAAGAAAGATGACCTCTTTAGCCAACATATATGATGTTTAGCTTCCACGGAAATAATTTATCACATGAGGAGAAATGGAAGACATGACAATGGCATTTTTAAAATAGAAGAGGAGGCAGTGTGAAGGCATGAGAATTCAGAATGAAGGGGGGGAAGAGAAAGAAAGAGAGAGAGAGAGAGATTGAGAGAGAGACTGATATAGTATTTGGGTTATTCAGAGGAGTTGCAGGAATCGTGAAAAAATAGTGCTGTGCCTGTCCTTTTGGGCATGACTACCATTTATCAAGTGACTATTACATTATGCTGCAGGCACCATGCCAACTGCTGTATATGTAGCATCTCATGGACAACTCTCTCATGTATGTGTGCTTTTATCCCTTTTAAAGATGAGCGATTGAGGATCCAAGAGCTTAACACAAGTTACGCAGCGAGAAGTAGAGGTAAGGTTCTAATCAAGTTCTATAGTTCTGTTCTCTCTGCTCCAAAACCCTTTCTCCTTCCGCTATTTTGGTCTCTCTCCAAAACATCCCCAAAGGCTCATTCTGCCTCATGAAATCACAGATGATAACTCTACAAGGAACTTAAATGATTCCTGCAGCCCAATACTCCCATTTTACAGACGGGTCAGGGAAGTAATGTGAGATGCTCACTAAGGCCCTCAGCTTGTCAAGGAACTAGGTCTACTCACTTCACTTCCACTTAACATTCTTCTAGGTGCTTACTGGATCTCAGAGGAAGAGTCAAGACCATAACCCAGGGACACTTGCAATGCCTACCCAGGTTTTTCATGTCACCCTTCTACTACTGCATGCACAGATGCAGCTGTCAACTTTAGGAACACTGCTTTCAAACCTTTTCGAAGTTATTTTTTTACCATCTTCTTTAATACTATACTCCTTTAGAGAGAAATATCACTTTCTAATACTTTTTAAATTTTTCTATTTTTATGAAGTGTTAGATAAATGTTGAATGTATGCAAAACAAACACACAGCAACAAGAATAGCCAAAGAAACCATTTGGCTTGCTTCTTCTGCTGTCGTCTTCTTGCCTTTAAGCTTGTGTTCTCCCTAACTTTTAAACTCAAAAGAATTTTTTGTCAACATTAAAAGTTTTCTGATAAGTATTCTGAATATGTTTACTGAGGAAAAATTTAAATAAAAATCATTGTTCAGATGTCACTCATATCAATCACTCTCTGCAACAGCTGTACAGTAGAAATAATTGCAAACTCATGCCCTGTACTTTAAGGATGTGAGAAGAAAAGAAAAACAAAATGGATTATTTTTAACAAGACTCTGCAAGTGTCCAGCATCTCCAAAGACTATCTTCTGCCCATCTATTTTTCCAGAAATATTAATGACTATTCCTCCAACGTTTTCCATTACGTAACACCCACATCCCTCATAATCATCCCCTCCTTTTATTACCATTAGCATTACCCACACAGTTCCACACTCAACTCATTTTTACCACCTCTATTGTTACACCAGACACCCAACCTGGCAGAAGGATCAGAAGGAAAGTTGACAAGATAGTAAAATCAACAAAGTGCAGACCTGAATCACATCAATGCCAGTGAGTAATGTGGGGCTGACTTGCTGTGACCCTGTGAAATTTACAAGTGTCTATATGGGTAGGTGTTCCCAGTAACATCTACCCACACAGACTTTGCCCATATAAATGTGAGGTCTGCTAGAAAAAAAAATTAACAAAGGGTAAGAATAAAATAACTAAGTGAGAGATGGATTTCATGGGACTCCGACTGTAAGTTTTTGTCCCAGATTGAGAAAGCTGACATTTAACCATCTAGAAGAATGCACTCAAAATCTTTGTTAACTTTTGGACCTTGTCACCTACTTAGAACTGTAGAACTTAAGGCTGCAAAAACTATCTTCTCTTACCACTAAGCCGTTTTCTTAGTAAGCCTTTTACCAATGTAGGAAAGAAAAGCTAACATCTTTTCTCTATCATCTCCATCTCCTCCATGCACCCAGGAGCCTCAGGAGCACCAGGCTCAAAACCCTTGTCCTTGTTCAACTACACTCTTTCCCTGCTAGTGGAGAAGCGCTCTGTGATACTTCACTAGGAATTTGGAAGAGTTAATATTAAACTTTGCATTGGGGGCCATTTTTATATTTTATTACACTGGCTGTAAGGTGATTTCAATAATCTAAGTCTATTGCTTCTCTAACAGGAACAAGTACCAGCTAGAGATTTTTCACATACGTGTCTAAATATAGTTTTACAATACCTCATTTTAAGAATGTAGAAATTGCTCAGAGAGCTTACTAAGGCTTGTATAAAGTTTTTTATCATCCACTTTTTGATGTTTACTGTAGACACAAAATTGTCCCACTCATACCTCTTTAAGGAAAGGCTTGCTGTCCAGCTGCAGAAAATACAGTCAGTGGAGGTGGACGGCGTCCAGCTGTCTGCTTCTTCAGAGCCTGCCTCACCTGAAGCAAGGCACCTTGCCTAAGGTCCCTCTTTTTGCCAAGGCAGATACATGCAGTAACTGAGCAAGGTTGGAAAATAAAGTTTTGACCATTTGGATCCACAGTGTTACACTCTCAGGGCTGGTACTCACTCCAGAGCTCTCTGCTGGATTGGCTTGGCTTTGTCAATTCTCTCTAGTAGTTTGACTTCTCCCTCTGTTTATCCTTCTCAACCTCTTTTCTTTCATAAGTGTTGATTTCTAATAAACATTTTGTATCCCACCCTTTATCTTGATGTCTGCTTCTGGATGCAAACTGCTGATACCAACACAACCATTTTACTCTTTTTCTTTACTCAGATAAAGCCTAGAATCTATAACGCAGTGTGGCCCTAGCAAGGAACATACAAACAGTACACAGGTGAATTATTATTGCATCCAGCTTCAGCTGGTACTACTCAAACCCCAGTGTCCCAGATCTCTGGACACAGGCTTCTACCCTAGAGAGTACATGTCTGCTTTCACTCCCAGGTTTTTCTCTCAGGTTTTCAGTGACTCTGAGCTACTGAATTCCCAGCTTCTAAACTCTTGATTTTCTCATAAATGAGTCCCCAATATCTACTCAATATGATATTTATAATGCTCATTACCTGTTTTTCAGGGGTCCCCAAATAAAATGTCTGCTGGGGATTGTCCAATAAAATAAATTATTAAAGTTGTTTAGGTATAAGACAAGAGACCCCAACCTGCTTGTTTCGCAATTGAGCATTACACCTCACTACCTCTCCATATGCCGTGGTGTGAGGGATACTGCCTTGAGTGATCTAACCCTTGCCCACCTCTCATATATTCCCCCTCCCCTCATTCAATCTTCTGCAGCCACAGTGATCTTCCTGTTTCTCAAATAAGTCAAGCACATTCCAGTTTCTATGCCTGTGTGTTTGCTGTTCTTTCTTCCTGCAATGTACTTAACCCTCCTATTTCTCATCCATCAGATATTATCTTAAATATCACCCCTTCTGGGAGCATTATCCAACCACCCTATGTAAAATAGGCCACATACCTCCATACGCTGCTATTTTTTATGACAGGTCTATTACTTTATTTCATCAGACTTCTTCTAATTCACGATTAATGAATGTGTTTGTTTACTTAATTTCTGTCTCCTCCACTAGACTATAAGTTCCAGAAGGGCAGACAACATTTTTCTTATGCAACATATATTTCTAGGGCCTAGCACAGTGTCTTGTCCATAATTTTTGAATCAGTGAATTTATTCCTGCTCAAACTCCCTTCTCCAGGCTCCCCATCAAACTTCATGGTGGCACCGCCATGTCCAATCCACTCTCCCAGGGAATGCAATTCCATCGTCTTCAAATTGTTGTATTCTGGCCCAGCACAGTGGCTCACACCTGTAATCCCAGCACTTTGGGAGGCCAAGGTGGGTGGATCACCAGAGGTCAGGAGCTTGAGACCAGCCTGGCAAACATGGCAAAATCCCGCCTCTACTAAAAATATAAAAATTAGCTGGTGTGATGGCTTGTGCCTGTAGTTTCAGCTACTTGGGAGGCTGAGGCAGGAGAATCACTTGAACCTGAGAGGTGCAGGTTGCAGTGAGCTGAGATTGTGCCAGTGCACTCCAGCATGGGCTACGGAGTGAGACTCCATCAAAATAAAATAAAATAAAATAAAGTTATGTTTAGCCGCTTTCTCTCCATCTTTTATGCTACCACCTTAATTCAGACACTCGTCATTCCACACTTACACAACTACCACACTCTCCTCATGGGTCTCCCTGGTTCTCCTTTCTTCCTCTCTATCCTCTGTACCCTGTCAAAGTGACCTTTCCAATATGCAAATCACTCCTAGTCTTAAAACCTTTCAATGGCTCCCTGTTGCCTACAGAATAAAGTTCAAACTTCTTAGCATGACATGTGAGATACTCTGAGATCTTACCTTGTCTTCCCCTCTGGCTTGATTTCTCCATCTTCTCCAGCGGCCCCCACTGCACAACCTCTGAACATTTTCCCCTGCCTCTAATCATCCTGTCCATTCTACCTTCTAAATACCTCCCTTCAATTTATTCACTGACCTGCATCTCTACAGCTACCAATCTCATTCACCCCTGGCCTGAGCAACCCACACATCCTTCTCTCTAACTGCACACTGCTGTGTCCAGTCCATTTTCTAAACATCAGCAAGTGAGCTTTTAATCATAGAAATGCTTGCCTCCTCTCCTCCTGGCCTAAAATCCCTCCATGGAAACAAGTTGAGGTTTCTGCAAGATCTGGCCTGTAGGTATTTCTTTACCCTCTCCCAGCACCACTCCCTGCACTCAGACCCACTGTCAAGCACTTTCTTATCCCAGAGTTTGTGTTCCTACTTACCTGGGGACACTTTCTCCCTATGGCTTACTATCCCTTTCATTTCATAGCTCAATATTCTTTCCTAGGCAAGGCCAAGATTCCCTGAGTGACGTCTCATAGCTCATTGGATTTTTCTTCAAGGCCTTTATCCACCCATATAAGTGTGGGATATGGGTGAAAGAACAAGTTTGCAGAAAAGATACAGTGAATTATGGACCATGAGTTCGGGAAAGAAGGGTAGGACTGCGTCGCTGGCTGCAGTATTCTGGAGGCTGGTCTTTGGGCTGTGATCACTCTTCATTCTAAAGGAGGTACTGCTGAGATGTTAAAACCATTGTTTTACTTTTTCATAATTTTCAGGGCTTTGGTGTATCAGAAGGAGGCTGTAGCATATGATCAACTCAAAGTCTGGAAATAATTTCAATCATGGGATTTTTGTTTATTATTATGTTTTAATTTTTGATATAAGCTTCATCTTTTTTTAATCTGTTAAACAAAGGAATTTCTCATCAACTCCCCTAACCTTCCTAAACTACATATGCAATTATTCATTCATCCATTCATTTGCTCAGAAAACACTCATTAGATGCCACATCCTTTCCTAGTTGTTGGAAAGGAGTCACAGGCATGAAGTAGAGTGAGGTCTTAAGACCCTTTGACTGTGGAGTGTGGAAGAAAAAACTACAATTGCATCCTGGGTTTTAGAAAGATCGTGAAGCAAAAGAAGGTCAGAATTTTCCAGTCCAGAGTAACAGATAACCAGTAAGAATCACATCTGAAGTGGAAGGTTGGGCAGGGACCAAATATCCAGGTCCCAGGGGTAGAATCATTCAGCTGGAGAGAGCCTCTTGGAGCTATTTCAGCCATGCCAATGATTTTAAAAAGTGTCTCCTTTAGGGCTTGGCAGGTTCCTATAAAGAAAAGCATGAGATCAAGGTCCACTAGATAGTGGCATTTGCTTCCAGGTGAGTATCATATTCCCAGCCTGATTAAAGTCAATAGCCAAGAATATTGAGACTAGGCCACTGCTGAAGGAAAATATGGGAAAGGATTAGGTAAGGTGTTAGGACCCCTGCAAAGGTCTAGCTATGACAAAGGACTAGCCTACTAGACAGCAACATGGGGCAGATTCCCAGACCTGTGGACTTAACCAGCAGGACCTTTGTCTACCAGCAATGCCTAAGACTTACCCCAAACTGGACTGATTATCATCCATCAATTCCAAGTTCCAAATAGCAAACTGAGACTGTGAATGAGACACTTAGCTTTGAGCCGAATGGGCTCCAGCCGAGGCAAACTGAGGCTGCAATGGAATGGCAGGGAAAATGGAGTTGGCACTGTCTATGTCCTACTGTCCCCTGGCTTTCTTGTCTTCCTGCATAACCCCTGGGGGGAACCATCATCCCTGTGAATCACGGGGCTGCTGCCTCCATTTGTTAAGGCCTTCGTTCTGTCCTTTTTAAATATCACTGTTAATACCCCCTCGTGACACTGTCTTGGTCCTTTACCCTTTTATCCAGATATTATTAAAAACTATTGTCAAAAATGGAATTCTCTAAAGATCTCATAAAAGTCAGCTGTGAGGCCCTGTTACAGAGGAGCGCGGCCTTGTGACTAGGAGCCACTTCCCGAGTCGTGATTTCTGCATCCCACAGTTTTGCTTTTTCAACCCCATGATAGAAAAGCCTAGAGCTTACTCCCCTCACACCCTCACACTGCATCCTTCCTGGGCTTGAAACCATTCTTAAAAGAACTGCACTATTTTTTTTTTTAACATTCTATATGCTTCACACTTACTCGTTTCATATTTTTATACATAAAATCCTCCCACTCTCTCTCCATCACAACCTCACTACCTCCCTCCACAAAATACTTTTTTTTTTTTTAACAGACATTTTCAGAACATCAGGGATATATCCTGCCCTGGGATGCTGATGAATGGCCGCTTTAAGACTCACTGAGACACTTTGGTGCACGGCTCAGAGTGCTCTGAAGGAGTAGTTTTAATTCAGCAGTTTTGATGTGGAAGCAAAAATATATAAAATGGCATTATATTGCTGGGTAATGTGTTGTAGCACTATGAATTTAATCCACAGCAGCCAGGCACACAAAAGCTTACATTTATTATTTTTTCTTTCTTTAATCTTTTTTTTTAAAAAAAGAAAACAACTTTTATTTTAGATTTAGGGGTACATGTGCAGCTTTGTTATACAAGTAACTCATGTTACAGGGGTTTGACGAACAGATTATTTTATCACCGAGGTACTAAGCCTAGTACCCAATAGTTCTTTTTTTCTGCTCCTCTTCCTCCTCCCACCCTACAAATTAAATCTGATTCTAACGTGGTTAAGAGAAACAGTTTCTATTATATTCAGTGATCCTTTCATCTCCCCAAAGTCACGAAGTAAGAATAATAATAATTATTTTAGCTATTTCATTATAGTCAGTTAAACATGGTTAACACATAGCACACTGTGGTTCAGACACCATCTAAGTGTTTCATCTTTACAAACTCACTTTTCACCTCAACCACCCTAGGAGTTACCATTATTTTTACCCATTTTATAGATGAAGATGTTGAGGCACAAAGATCTTCAGTCCAAGCTCACAGAGTACACACAGAAGCTGACATTTGAACCCAGAAGGCTTGTTCTAGAATATCTGCTCTTAATAACTATGGAAAATAACAATCCTAGCACTTAGAGGTCACCTAGCAAAATGGAGAAAGGCCTTGTCCTTAATCCAATGTGTCTGCCATAGTTAACCTTAGTCTCCTGATCCATGGGGTGGCTGCTGTGCTTGAATGTTCTTATGGCCTCTGGCCCCTCATGGGTCCTCCCCCTGATCAAAGGCTCAACACAGGGGTTTGGCCCACTTCCCTCAAGGCTGTGGGTGTCCAGGTTTCCTTGCATCCCATTGAAATCCTCCATCCAGGGCACCATGTGCAGTTAGGGTATGGATCTCCCACTCACATGAAAACCCCTCATTACCAATGTTTTCCTAATTCACATACCAGTCCTTTAAACTGAAGCTTCAGTTCCTCCCATCCTCACCTCTAAGCACCAGTCTCCAGATTCCTTCCCTTTGAGACAATCCAAAACAATCTCCTCAAGTAAACCTGAAGCACGAACTCTGCTTATTTCCTTTCTGCTAGTTGTGAATTTGGGACTGGAGGGTAATGAGCTCTCTGTTTGCTGCAATGGGATGGAGAAAATACATGATTTATTCAGCAATGGTGAATGCACAGTACTTTTTCCTCATCTTTAACACTGATGTACATGGAACAGTCCTCTTCGAGCCATAGCATACCCCTGACCCCATCACTGAGCTCTTCCTCTACCTCTCACCTCCATCCTATGCCCATCCCATCCTCACCGAGCCTCCAATCACCCCCCACTGCCCCTTTTTTCCTCGGTTCTTCCCCAGCCCTCATATGCACCCTGCACATTTGGGAGAACTGCAAGCATAGCTCCTGCCTTTTGAAAACTGAAATAAAGGAAAATGATTAAATAATATTTATTCTACATTTTTGATAAAAAAATTTTTTCAGGTAACCAAATAGTTGGGGATAAGAAATACCCCTTTAGAGAAGTTTTACAGATTATAAATGAAGGCAGGATGAGAAAATATCACCACTTTTGTGAACCCTAATGAATTAATCCATCTAAACAATGATCAGGAATGGCTGCCAAAACCACCAAAAAGAGAAAAGGAGATATAAGAAGGCATTCCCTGCTTCCTAACCAAACCAAACCATTCCCTGCTTCTTGACCAAACGAAACCAAAACAAAAAAGCACACAAAAACCCTGAATCTTACAAGTCTGTAAATCTATGCTGTTCTACAGGAGACCCCAGCCACATGCAGCTATTGGTCACTTGAAATGTGGTTAATTCTGAGAGATGCTGTAAGTGTAAAATTCATACTGGATTTCTAAGATTTCATACAAAAAACCCCAAACCTCAATGATTATCATGATTGTATGTTAAAATGCTCACACTTTGGATATATTGAGTTAAATGAATTGTGTTATTTGTAAAATTGCATCTCTAAACCACATCTCACACCTCCCTTCTGTCTGATCCTGAAGCCTAATTCTGCTTCAGAAGCATGGGTAAGAATCAAAGCAAGAAACATTATTACTTAGGATTGGGGTAAAACTTGGCAGCAAGGTGAAGTTCAACATCAGGGTCAGGTTTGATTTTTTTTTTAAGTTAGGAATGTATCAGGTTCTTTCAAAATATCCATGCTTCAGAGTGGGGATAGACAAATACCATGTGCTCATAGGCCTTATGATGGGTAGGAAGAAGTGGAGACAAAAGGAGAAATCTTGAGGAAAGGCCCCAGGCAACATGAAAAAGCCGATAGGAATGGTTTGGACTAGCCAGGCATGGTGGTTCACACCTGTAATCCCAGCACTTTGGAAGGCCGAGGCGGGCTGATCACTTGAGGTCAGGAGTTTGAGAACAGCTTGGCCAACATGGTGAAACCCCATCTCTACTAAAAATACAAAAAAATTAGTCTGGCATAGTGGCGGGCGCCTGTAATCCCAGCTACTTGGGAGCCTGAGGCAATGGTTGAACCTGGGAGGCAGAGGTTGCAGTGAGCCAAGATTGCGCCACTGTACTCCAGCCTGGGTGACAGAGGAAGACTCTGCCTCAATAAAAAAATAAAATAAAATAAGGAATGGTTTAAGCTGTTCAGGCTGCACTGGCATCTGGTCTTCCTGGTAGCCCTAACTAGCTTTGGCCTTGATTTTATCTTCCCACCTCCTCAGCTGTGTTCTGCATCTCTGTCTCATCCTCACCCCTGCCATAGGGAATGTTGCTTGGATATTTGTTTCAAGACAATTGTAAAATTCAGAAGGGACCACAGAGAATTATTGCTTCATTTGAACATCACAGAGCTAGCTCAGTAGTGGGGTGCAGCTGTCTAGGATTTGACTTTTAGTAGGGATAGTGTGATGGATGTGCTGCAGCATCACCCAGCCTGGCTCTGGATTCCTTCTCCATCACTTACCAGAGTTTCTAAATAAAGTCCTGCATCAGCTTGCCCAGACTTGTGCAGAAGGTAAGTGACAATGACACCTACATAGTGCCTCCTATAGTCCCTGGCTCAGAGGTGGTTTTACTGTGATGCTCATGAAAATTCAGGTTCAGGGACCCTCATAGTACAGTGACTCCTTCCTAGTGCCCTTGGGAAGGATTTTTAGCAAATTTTATTAATGATATAGTATCTTTCTCAGAGGGCTTTTAAAATGTGCTTAAGCTCAACTCCCCCACTCATAAAAAATGGATCTGAAACTACTTTGGCCCATTTGAGTTCTTAATAAATATATCTGTGTATTCTGTCCTTGCTCGTACCTGCCTCTTTATCTTTCTATATTACTCTTTAGTGCACTTCTGCAGGGTCCAAATGTACCTACGATTCCCATTTTCTATCTTCCCTAGGTCCTGTTTATGTAAGTGGTAGGCAGAATAATGGACTCTCAAAGATGTCTACACCCTAATCCCCAGAAACTGAATATGTCAACTTACGTGACAAAAGAGACACTGCAGATATGATTAAGTTAAGAATCTTAAGATGGGGTGGATTATTTTGGCTTATTCAGGTGGGCCCAACCTAATCACAAAACCCTAAAGACAGAATTTTCTTGGCTGCCTTTAAAGAAAAATGCTCTGTTGTTGGCTTGAAAGAGTGAGGAAGTGGCCACAAGCCAAGGAATGTGGGCAGCCTCAAGTAGCTGGAAAAGGCAAGGAAAGAGATTCTCCTGGACAGCCTGGAGAAGGAATGTAGCCCCAATGATAACTTTATTTCAGCCCATTAGGACCCATGCCAGACTTCTGACCTCCAGAACTGTAAGCTAATTCATTTGTGTTGTTTTGCGCCACTACATTCCCAGTAATTTATTACAGCAGTGGTAAGAGACAAATACTGCATGAAGATCTGTTTTTCTCTTTTCATCTTACTCTTCCAGCTGCTTGTTTATTGATCTGCCTGGTGATCTTTTTATTCTTTTTACCTCATTTTATTCTTTTACCTCCTGGTAATTGTATCTTTTCTCTGTAAGTCATGCATAAAAAAACAAACAGGGCTTTCTCGCTGGCACTACCCCTTTCATATAATTTATTAAGAGTCCTCCTCTGAAAGGGATTTGCTTAAAGTCCAATTTAATTAGATTTAGCACCCTGATATATTAAAAATCCCTTAGCATGAGGCAGCTCTTGCTTATGGGAATACACCCTGAAGTCAATGAGAAGCTCAAGGTGTTAGTTTCAAATTTTCTATTTTATACTCTTGTGACTTTTGGCAACTTAACTAACCTCTCTGAGTACAACTTAACTAAGCTTTCCTAGAACAAAAAACTCACAATATATTCATTTCCATTCCTTTTATTGTGTTTTTGAAAGATATTTGTCCACCCAATGCAAGTGGACACTTGACAAGACCCTGAATTGAAAGCCCTGTTTGTGTTTCCCTCCCTTGTTTATAGCTGGTTTTATGACTCCATCTTAAATGTGCACGTAAGGCTCCTGTAGATGCTGATGGTGAGTGATGGGGTCTCCGCCTTTTAAGTAAAGCATGTTTTCCTAGAAGCTCAGAGTAAGATCTAATTAAAGTTTGACACCTCACATCGATGGTGACCTGAGGGTTGCATAACGATACCTGTGTCACCAAGTAGTTGCAAAAATTAAATGAGACTCGTGGAAATTATAGGGCCTGCACATAGAAGGCTCTCAATGGTGAAATCACAAGTCAAGGAGTAAGCATGTCACTCTTTTCTTTTCAGAAACTTGAGTGTATTTGAATATTTACAAAATCATCCCTTCGCTTTTGCATTGACAAACCGCATTATCTGAATCCGCTTAGTGGATACTCTAAATGAGAGTCTGTATGCAAAAGCACTTTGGGAAGGTAACAAATGCTAGATGTAACTGTAAATTCAAATTTTTAATTATATATTCATTTTTGTAAATCTTTCATTCCCAGAATAGAGGCACCCTATTAGTAGAGCGTGAAATGAAATGGTATGACATGCTGGGAAGATAAATGTTTATTTGGGTTGATCAGTTTCTCCCCCCATGACATCTGAAGCTCACTCCTGAGATGACAGGAAAGCTTTAAAGAAAGATTGAATCAAACTTGCTTCCCTTTTTTGTCTTCCTAAATGAAAAGGAGATGAACAACAGTGAAGTGTTTTATTATTTTTTTCATTGATGTGTCAGTGACTTGAAGAGTTAGTGGTGAGCAATTGTAAATATTGACATCCAGCAGGCCAGGAATCAAACCCCAGACCTATCTCTTGAAAGATAATGGGAACATGGACTAACAACGTTAGAGCTAAACTTTCTTTAACATAAAATGAGAATAATAACCATAGATTTTCAAACGATGTCATAAGAGTGAAATGAAATAATTTCTTTTTAAAACGGTAGTGTGGTCAGACTATTCCAACCAATACATTATTTGCCAAGCATTATGGAGACAGGGATGAAGACAGCACACTTCCTCCAGCCAGTGACAATACAAACTCAATGTCTGGTGGAAGAAAACAATGAGTAAGCCAACAATTATGGTCTAGTTATATGAATGTTTGATTTGAGGTTTCCTTTGTTATATCCACTAGGAGATCGTTTCCTAGGGAGAGGGCTTGGAGAGATCAGCAGATGAGAGACCAGGGAATCTGATCTGATCCCCCTAAAACAAACTGCAGGGCCATCAGAGATACAATCCCTACAGAGTTTCCTCTGATTTTAGCATCATGATCCTTTTAGCAAGTTCAGAATCACTTGGAGAAAAGAGAAGAAGGTATTGTCCTCAAAACTGACACCGTTCCCTTAATTAACTCATCAAATTTTGTAGTACATTTGCTTCTCTGAAGGACTTGTCTTATAAATGCACTTCTCTGGGCCCCAAAGTGAAAGATCAGCTTTGGTAGTTCATGGTGGTATTCTGGTACCTGTATGTTAAACACCGTTCCCAGGTGATAGTAATGTGCAAGAAAGTTCGAGAGGCTCTGTCTTGAATTCTGCAATATAGATGTGTCAGATTCTTTCATAATCCGCAAAGACATGTGCCTCCTTTCAGTCATTTGTGAAAAAGCATCTTTGCCTTTGTTGAGCAGCACTTGGTATATCTTTGCTGAGTAGCCCTGTGTTTCTGCCCTTGGCTACAGAGATTACCCAACTGCACTCACAGTTCTCCAGGTTTACACAGTTTCTCCAACTGTGTTGAAGTTTCTGCAAGTACATGCGAAGTTACACAGAGATGTGTAAATTTCCCTGATTGTATGCAAAATCATACAGATGTGTACAGTTTTCACCACATGTGGGTGAGGTTCTCCACCATTTGAATAGGCCCCCAACTGGCCTGTCTCTTCCTCATCAGGAGCTTCTCTCACTTGGATTCAGGAACCCATGCAAAGGGTTCCCTTTTATCCTTGCTTTATTGTCTACACCTGCATTTTCCTGCCTGGTGCATGCCCTTTGTGAAAATAGCTATAGTACTCACTAATTTCCTCCGGAAAATAAAAGCTAACCCATCGCCTTGCCCTGCCTCAACTGTAGATCAATTCACCTCTGAATTTCCCTGAGGATGCTCTTTTCAGATTGGTGTGCTTTTCAGATTGGTGTGGACAAAAGCAGAAAGGGGAGCGCTGAAATGGAGGGGAACCCCCTCCACATTGTTCTGTAGCTATTTGGGTTGGTTGCAACCCACAACAAGAGGAAAATGAAAGTCCTGTCTGGGTCTGGGATGCCTCTATTCAGTGGTTTGAGGAGAAAGCAGCGTTTACCGACCCTGCCACTGAACTGGGAGGGAGAGGGGGTAGTTAAGCCATTGGTCTGGAAAAGCTCTCTGGAAAAGGTGATCACAGACTATTAACCTGGCAGTAGATTGGCAGCACATGTTCCACCCACCAGCTAAAGTGCCAGAGCTACATTAAGACCCACAATACTTTCCACTGGCTAAAGTAGATAGTATTCCAACTGGAACAGGGGAGAATCTAAGCTTAGAAACAATAACAGCTAAAAACAATAAATTGAAACCAGAATAAATAAGACATCCTCAACAGATTGAGATCTGATGTTGGAGCCTCAATGCCCCTGCCTGCCGAGGACTCCTGCCTCCTCAATGAGGCAGGCAGAGCTGAGCTTTCCCAGGAGTCTTAGAGTTTGCACAGACATAAGGACAGAAAAGGAAAGGAATTACCACCCTTAGGAGTGATCTACAAATAGCATCCCAGGATAAGGACAGGGCAGGCTCTTCTCTTTAGCATCTAGAGTCCATAGGAACAGTAAAAAGTTTAAATCGTGGATGCCATTTGTTTTTCTAGACAAAGCCTTCTGCTTTCATCCCAGGATTTCAAAGCCCCTCACAGCCATTAATTCGTCGTAAGCAATTCAGGCCTGTCAACGTTTCACACCTAATCAAGAGCTGATATCTGTCACCCCAAGGGATCTAACCAATAATTCCTCTGCACGCTCTCCTTTCCTATACCCTTCTCCCAAGTCAGTTATTTTTTTATTTTATATATATGCATATTTTAAACTTCAAGATCCCCTCCCCCTTCTTTTTTTGTGTGTATGTTTTTTTTTGTTTTTGCTCTTGCAGTATCTGACTCCCTTTCCCTTTTCTTACCCTTCCTTTTCTGCCTCTTCTCCCAAGGTTTCTTTGTTTGCCTTCTTATTTTCCCTGGATGGAGTTGGGAGGAATCTGTAAACCAAGGGGCTTGAGACCGACATACGGAAGTCCATGAGTCCCAGGCTTTCACAGAGAAAGCCCCAAATGAAGATGGGTTCCTGGCCATGAATTTCTATTTCTCATGGGACATGATTATCCGTGACTAATTTGTCTCCCTGGGCAGACAAAACCACTGCCAATGTACCAGCTTTAGTAAAGCTGTTCAGGGCTGTGATTTCCAAGGAAAGTAAAAAAATCCAGCTCTATGTTTTCAACAGGCTCAAGACTTCCTCATGCCCTCAGTAAAGACAAAACCTGATTCCATTGCAATAAATCACTTAGAGCAGGAATGATAAGCCTGCTGCACAGGTCTATCACTCTCATCTCCATGCCCGTGCAGACATCACTAATCAAGCATAGCACTTTCCCCCACCCCCATCCCATATCCACCTCCCTGCCACAGCTATCTCAGACCCTGAATTCCTCTCAAGAGGAAATGTGAAAACTCCTTGCCATCTCTGATGCAGGGCCTTTCCTACCTTGCTACTCACCACATCCACAGTCCATCTTTCTTATTTTGTTTGTAAATTTTAAGCTTAATTATTTTGGACTTTTTACTATATGTAATATATTTAATATAATGTTTAATGTAAAATACTAATATACTAATATTTTATGTTCTTAAGCGTAATCATAAAACTAATATCTATTAACTTACTAACCTAAAATAAGAACTAGAATATTACTAATAATCTGCATTTATTGAAAGATTTGTCTCCACCCACACCACTGCCTTCCATCCATGAATTAACACCTATCCTGAATTTTGTGTTTAACATACCCATGCTGGCTGGCATATGTGTGTGTGTGTGTGTGTGTGTGTGTGTGTGTGTGTATATATATATATATATATATATATAAAATAGGTATACACCACAGGCAGGCACATAGGTATACCAGAGGTATCCATAGGTATACAAGCATACAAATATACAATTTTAGCACATATGTACACATGTACTTGTGCATATAATTTTACCACATAAGTATATATGTTTGAGACTATATACTTATTCTCAAACAATATATATTTTAGTTTTGCTTATTTCTGAACTTTCAGAAGTAATACATATTATCTTGCACATAGCAATGCTGTATATATTTTCACTGATATAAAGTATTACATTACAAATATGCAACCCAATTTTGTTCCAGGTATTATTCATATGATCAGGCTTTTTCCAATCAGATTAACTGTGAAAATTCTCAAATATTTTCATGGTTCAACTGTACAAGGTGATTTCTAACATGCATACTTCAGAGTAGAATTGTTATATGCTAGAATTTGTGAATGCTCAAACTTACCAGATAATGCCAATTCATTTACCAGAATAATTGTGTATATTTACACCCTCATCAACGGTTTTAGAGGATTTCCTGTCAGTGCCTTTCTCTCAAATACTTTTGATTTTTATACATTTTCCACCCCACCTCAATCTAGAGGATGTAAAATTGTATCTCCTTGTGGTCTTTACTTGCATTCCCTAGATTAACAATTAGACTGGACACAATTTTATTGATTTATGGATCATTTGTGTTTCTTCTGTCGAGTGTCTGTTCAGGAGCTTTTTCTTCCCCCCTTCTCTTTTTGTTATTAATGTCATGAGTTGAGATCTGTTTGTTTATTTAATATATCCTGGATTTTAACTTTTTGTTAGATAGCAAATCTTAAAGATTGTGTCCTGTATTTTCACTTTCTTTATGGATCCTGTTAATGAAAGTTCCTGATTTCATCACTTTTTTTTTTTTTTTAGACGGAGTCTCGCTCTGTCACCCAGGCTGGAGTGCAGTGGCGCGATCTCAGCTCACTGCAAGCTCCGCCTCCCGGGTTCACGCCATTTTCCCGCCGCTGGGACTACAGGCGCCCGCCACCACGCCCGGCTAATTTTTTGTATTTTTAGTAGAGATGGGGTTTCACTGTGTTAGCCAGGATCGTCTCGATCTCCTGACCTCGTGATCCGCCCGCCTCAGCCTCCCAAAGTGCTGAGATTACAGGCGTGAGCCACCGCGCCCAGCCTTCATCACTATTTTACTAATGTATATGGTGCTTTTGAAATATAAGTATTAATCTTTTGTTAAAGATAAAATATCCCAAGTATGTGACATATTTTCATATGTCTGTTAATAAACATAATTTTTTTCTTACTGTTCTATTTTTGTTTAAGAAATTATTTTCTACACAATGGTAAACTAAAGCAAAGTGATGTTGTCACTTCTGGAAGGAAGAACATAATAATTGCCAGTGTTGAGCTCTTCAGCCTTGTTTTTCTGCTGCATGGAGAACCCTGAAGGCTTATGTCGAGATGTTAGTGTCAAAAAAAAGTTAAATCTTCCGTCAACCTGTGACCCTGAGTGACATCTACAAAGAATAGAATCCAATCCACTTCCCACCAACTCAGGTTGGACATATAGTCTGAGTAAGACTTTGTTATTTTATGCCACTAAGATGTGAGGGTTGTTTCCTAATCATAACCTATCCTATCCTGACAGGTATAGTAATTGTCTCAGCACACTGACTGAATTACTCTTCTGTTTCTCAAGGGTACAGGATACTTCCTTTCTCACAAATCAACTTTCTATATGTGTGTGGGTCTGTTTCTGGAATCTTGTTTTGTTCGACCAGCCAAATTGTCTGTCCCTGAACAAATATTATACTACCTTAATTACTATGGTTTCATATTTGTATTTGAAAAAGCAAACCTTCCTATCTTATTCTTCTTCAAGAATTTGCCGTGCTTTGACCCTTTGCTCTTCAAAATAAATCTTGTAGTTTGCCAAATTACATGACAAACCCCATTAGATTTAATGAGAATATTTATAGATTTACTTTGAGTAAAACTGATATTTCTGACACTGGCTCTTCCAATCTAGAAACATAGCATGACTCTCTATCTTGTTTATTTTTAGTTATTTCAATAAACTCCTATACTTTTCCAGACATAGTATACACATTTGTTTTATTTATTTCTATGTGACATATTTTGAGTTGACTTCTAATTTTAATTGTGAATGACAGTTTTAAAACTTACATATTCCAATGGTTTCTTGTTGATGTATAGAGAAGCAAACAATTTTTATTTTTTATTTTAAAGCCAACTAACTTTTTATCGACTCTCGTATTAATTCTAACAATTTGTGGATTCTTTTGATTTTCTAAGTAAACAATGATATCATCTGCAGGTGATGCTAGCTTGGTACCTTCCTTTTGAGTTTTTTTGTCTTAATTTCTCTTCCTTGTCTTACTGCCCTGGCTAGGACCCTGGAGCCATGTTGAATATAAACTTCATGTTTATATTCCTTGTCTTACTGCCCTGGCTTGGACCCTGGAGCCATGCTGAATATAAACATTGAACTTCTCATCTTTTTCTAGTCCAAAGGAAATGATTGTCACACTTGACCATTAAGAAAGTTACTTCAACTAACAAAAGAAAACCCAAGGATGGAAGTAGAACAGTTCTATTGTTCAATCTGGAATAAAGTAATGAATAAAGGCATTGGACATCTGTGACCTTTAACATCACAATAAAGAGAGAACAGACATTATGTGACTCCCGGTAAAAAAAATATAACCCCCTAGAATCTGTCCTGCCAAAGAGATTGGACTTAAATCTCTGTATCCAGCTGCCAATATACAGGAAATGCAAAAGATAAGGAAAATGTTGAGCTACACCATGAGGATGCACTCAGCAAAATCCAGGCTATGAAGGAGTCTATAGGTTAAATGCCCTGGGTTCTTCCACAAATAAGTTATAAAGAAAGGAAAAGATGCAGGAGGACCTAGAGATTTTAAAAAGTTAAATGATATATGTTTTCTTTAAACCAAAGTGTCCAGGATGAGATAACTGTAACAAGAAGTAAAGATGTAAATAGTGATAAAAATTACGATGAGGTTTATCATTGAGAGGAGAGCAAGGGTTGTTATAGAAACAGGGCACATGGTGGGTCTTCCATGATGGCTAGCAAAGTTCTCTTTCTTGAACTAGGGGTGGCGATTGATTACAAGGAAGTTTGCCTCATTAAAAAAGATCATTAAGCTATACATCTTGGGTGGTTTTCAGTATTTTTATTTTATTCTAAAATAAAGGTGAGGAAGTTCTATCCCTATTTATAAAGATTTTTTTTAAATGAAGGATCCACATTTAATTTTTTCATATGTTCTTTGTGTATCTTTTGAAATGGCCATATGACATGTTATTTCTTCTTACATGTACTGATGGTACATGTAAGTACAGGGTACTGATGGTACATGTAAGTACATGGTACTGATCCATGTACTTACATGGATTACATGTACTGATATGCTAACATGTTAAACCATTTTACATTCCTAGAATAAGAAAACAGCCATTTTTTTCTATGAACTACAATATTTAACCACTGCTAGATTCTGTTTGCTAAAATCTGCATTCTTGTGCATGAATGAGGTTATCATCTACTGGCTTTAGTATAAAGGTAATATCAGCTTTAAAAAATGAACTAAGAAATCCTCCTCTGTTTCTCTCTAAGACTTTGCATAAGATTGGAATTATCTGTTCCTTGAAAGATCGGTGAATATCACCTCTAAAATCATCAGAGTCAGGTATTTTCATCATGAAAAGATTTTTAACTTCTCTTCAATTACTTTAATAGTCTTATGTTAATAGTTATGGTCTAATTAAAGATTTCTTATGTCTTCTTAAGTCAATTTTGTTGTTATATTTTCCTAGGAATTTGTCTTTTTTATGTTTTTTGGTGTATTGGCATGAAGCTACTTACAGTATTTTATTACATCTCTTTAATCTCTTCTGCATCTATAGCGTTCTCCCCTCTACTATTTAATAATAGTGTCAATTTGTGTTTTATCTCTCTTTTTCTTTTTCTTTACCAGAAATTTGAATTCTTATTAGCTTTGTCATATAGCAAACCTTTGGTTTTTTTATATTCTCAGTTCTGTATTTGTTTTCAGTTTCATTTATTTCTTCTGTATGTTCATCTTCCTTCTGCTTCATTTAATTTGACTCTATTGTTTCTTTTCTAACTTCTTGAGCTAAATATTTAGGTTATTTATGTTAAATTTTTCTCATAAAAAATGTAATCCTAGCAAATGTTGCTACATCTCACAATTTTGATATTTAGTATTCTAAGTAGTTTTATATATTTAAAATAATTTTCTTACTGATACATACATTAATAAGTGTGTGTTTTATTATATCTTATTATCACCTTTTAATGTGATTCTGTTTTGTCTAGAAAAGTTATGTTTGATATCAATTTTTTGAAATGTTTTAGAATTGTCGTATGGTATAATACCTTTTAATAAATATTTCCTGGGGGCTTGAGAAAAATTCTTATTCCCTAGTTAGCTGTGAACATTAACAGAAGTTTATTGTCCTAATTGTTTTAATTCTATATTTTTATTAAGACTTTTGTTCATTTTACCTATCAAAAATTGAATTGAAATCTTCCACTACAGTGATTGATTTGACCATTTCTTTATCAAATCTCATCAATTTTGTTGCATATATTTGGGGATCTTTTATTATGTGTGCACTAGTTTAGAATTATTATACTTACTAGTGATTTGAATCATTTCTAATTATAGTATAAACTTCTCTATTTTTCATAATATGTTTTGTCTTAAACTCTATTTTATCTTATATTAATATAAGTACTCTAGGGTTTTTTTTAGTGGGGGTCAGTCTACTTTACGTGAAACAATTATGTGTCCTCCAGTTTCAGTTGTGTCTCTTGGAAGTAGTACATAATTGGAGTTTTTCTTAAAAATCCAATCTTAAAATGTCAATTTTAACAGAAATGCTTATATATTTAGTTTATTGAAATTCTTGTCATATTTGAACTTTTTCTGCCAGTTTGATTCTTCCTGATTCACTTTTTCTATTTTTCTATTTTCCTTTGATGTTTCATCTTTTTCATTGTATTGGCTTTTATGTCTTTTGCATTTTACTGTATTTTTTTTCTTCCTTCTATGTTTTAGCTACTGGTTTAGAATTTATGAACATTATCTCTAGGGCTTCAATGGTTACCCTTGAGGTTTTACATTTCAAATATATATAAATTATATTTAGTTAGATATATTTAACTATATAAATATTAAAGATAATCAATACGTTAAATCCTGTAACTAATAAAAGAATATTAAAACTCTTACAGTTCAGCTGTAGTTCTTTCAGATTAAATGCTCTTCTTACCCACTGTTTAAACCTTGTCTTTTTAAACCTCCAAATTGAACATTATTTTATAATTATTGTATGGGAATAATCATATTTGCATGCATATATTTTATTGGTTTATACTGACATGCATATTTACAATTTTATTTGTTCAGTATTGCTTCTTACTTCACAGACTATCTTCTGGAATATATTTTTTTCTAAAGTACATTCTTTATCAGTCTCCTTATTGATAGCCTATCAGCACTAACCTTCCTCTGCAGTGTTTAATGTGTGTGCTTGTTCTTAAAAGTGCCTTTATTTCATATTCATTAGTGGCTGGTGAAAATGCTCACACATGATCAAATTCTAAAGGCAAAAATCAAGGCAGAGCTTGATATTTAAACAAGATAATAGGTACAATAAAAATAATGCAATTTTAAATATGAAGGCAGAGGTATGGTTTAAGTTCTTCTTTTGGCCTTGGATAAATTATTCAGTAATATTCATTAATTTATGTGTGAAATAAACATATGGTGTGTATCTGCTAATTGCTTGGCTCTGTCCTAGGTGTTCACAATTAAAAACATAAGGCATGGTTTCTGGCTACAATGAGCTCAGTCTATAAGGAGATTCAGACACATTAATCAGAAAGTTAAAAGATGATTTTGTAACGGGGATATCTATTTATAGTATCTTAAGAAAACGTCCATGGGAACATCTACCTGGGTTTGGGATGGGGAAGGTTGGTGAGGGTTGGCTTCCTGGAGGTCATGTGAGTAGAAGAGGAAAACGTATGCCTAAAGAGGAAGAACAGAGAGAAGAAAAAGAAAAAAGGAAGAAAAGAGAAAGGCCCAGTAACAAAAATCTGAATGCCATGTATAGTTAATTAATAACATGAAGGTGGGGCATACATTTGAGGTCATAAGATGTTAGAGGTTTAAGCACGGGCCAGGTCATGAAGGGTCATAAATGCTTTGCCAAATGTTTTGGACTTTATCTCATAGGTCATGAAAACTCAGTAAGGAGATGAAATGATAATGACAAGGTCATATTTATGTTTCAGATTGTTGACTCCAGTGAGAGTGAAGAGGCCGGATGGGGGTTGGAGAGGCAGAGCTGGTGTCCCATCTGGCTCTGAACCATTTTATAGTCCAGGCAAGAGCTGATGAAGACTAAATGAATCAGTGATGTTATTGATGGACAGGAAGAGTATAAGAAACAAACTCTGCAGATGTTTTTTTTTTCAGCCATACTCATCACATAAGTGGTGAGTAAAGGAGAGAAGAAGCAAAAAATAATTCATTGATTTCTAGCTCTGGTATTGGATAGATGGTATGGCCACTACCCCATCAACAAAAAGAATTTAAGAGGAAATGCAGTTTTAAAGAAAAAAAAAGTTGAATTTATTTTAGAATATTTTGGATTTTAGATGCCAATGGTCATTAAAGTTGAAGTCATTGAATCTGAAATGCCTATCTTCAAGCTTTAGCTTTCTAACACAGGAAGGCATTTATATAAGCCAACCCTAGGGCACAGCTATAGCATATAATTCCAATAGAATATTGGGGTTCTAAATTTTTGGTATAATATACCTCATAACAGGCTCTAGAGTATCCAAAGCCAAGCCTCTCTGAACTCTGAATCCACAGGGTAAGGAGGGAAGCATCATGCTGGCCAACACACATGCAGTATTTTCTTTCTCTCATAGTCTCTGGTCTCTAAAAATTGAAGCTCATTTGGCTTAGATGGCCTAGTTTAAGGTCATTTCCTTTACCTACACCAGAGTCTAAGGTGGCACATGCTTTATCAGGTGTTTGTGTAGGCAGGGACTTTACCTGTGACCAGTATAATCAGGCTTCATAATGTGTCTTTACCTATTTGCTTAGGAATTATGTGTGGCCCACAAAACATGGCCCAGGAATTATTTTATATTCCTACTTTGACATTCTCTGCAACGACTATCAACCCTTGTCACCAGAACAACTCAAGCCGTTCTCTCTAAGACCTGAAACATACTCTGTAAATCAATCCTACTCATTCATACACTGGGAGCTACCCAGACCCCTCTTAGTTATATTGGCTGTATGCTTATCAGAATTTACCTGAAAGTTTCTCCATGCAAAATTTCTCCCCATAGAGTTATCCAAGACCAAATGATATGGGTTCTATATTTCCTCTGGAGCTGGAATCTGAGTGAATTATCCTTAGATCTTCACTGTCATTCGAGCATCACCTCTGAAAAAAATCTCTACGTTTCCAAGGTCGCCCCTGGAAATGTTTTTCTAGAAGAACCAGATATATGACTCTTCCACCTTTTATCTTTTAGAAACCAGAGCAATGCAATAGGAATGGTAATTTTGATGCCCTAACCAAAGTTTTATCAGACTGGCATCCAATCAAGGATTTAACCACTTAAATATTGTGCTTTGATAAAAGTTCTACTGAGAATTTGTGATTATTGGAGTTCTTTTACAGGGTACTTCATAAGCCATTACATAAGACACTAATTATCCAATATTTCTACCAGCAGGTGATCTTGTACTAATTAAATTAACATTGAAAACTGCTAACATCATTGATTAAGGGTCCAAATTGTTACTGTATATCAGTAACAATTAGGACAACTTCATTTTGGGCAAAAATCAAATCTGCCTTTCCCTTTATCACAGGAGATTAATTATCATCTTTTCCTAAGAAACCAGGCTCTCACCTAACAATAAAGGCTCTTGTGATTTGTCTACATTTTGGCCTCTAATTATGAAGTTTGAGGATGGCAGTCATCAGGTTCATGGAGTGGTTAATATCAAGAAATCTGACTTCAGATTTGGTTGAACATATTCAAATCTCAGCCCTGCCACATAGCAGATATATACTCCTAAGCCAAGCATGATCTTCCATTGGGCTCAGTTTCTTTTTCCATTGTACAGTAATAAAAATAGTCCCTACCTTAAAGGGCTGTGATGATCCCTAACTGAGGACAGCCTTGTAAAAGAGTTAATTATCAGCCTGACACATGAAAAGGGCTAAGTAAATGGTGGTTATTGCCATTATCAGTTGTGTTTCTCATTCTCTTGTGCTAATGATTTAATACACTTCCAATATCTCTTCCAAAAACCTTAAAGTTGGAAGGGGATGTTGAGAAGATCACCTTAACGAATCTTTAACTTTACTGAGAAGCAAAAGTGCTGACTTAATAGGATCCAAGGGAGACTCCAGTGGCTGGTCATTATACCTGGCTATTTCCCTTTTTGTAAAAGTCATTTGAAAAACATTGAATAACAAATAACCATGAAGACTTTATGATCAAAGATTCCCAGAACTACTGTGAAAAGGGGAAAAACCATGGAAGTCCATATTTCCAGCCCAGCCACACTGTGGACAGTCCTCACCTTCCTTTAGAACTTTTGCTCCCAAATACAGAGAACACCTGTGGGTGATTTGGAGCCATTGTTTTTGAGAATTATTCTCATAACATCAATTTTAAAATATATATGTTTAATCTATCACTCTCTTTGTGCCAGCCATCATGCTAAACTTATCTGCATTATCACATTCTGTCTTCATTTGAAGGAGGTATTACCATTACCTCCAAGGAAGTATAATTATTCCCATTCTATAGGTTAATAAACTGGACTCAAAGAGGGTAATTGACTTTTCCAAGGTCACCCAGCTAGTACATGATCAAGGTGGAACTTGAATCCACATTGTTCGCATTCCAGAACCCACAGCCTTAACTACCATGCACACCACCTCCATGGGTGAAGACCCTCTTCTTTCCTGTGGGCATCCTTGGGAGACAGAACACCCAGGAGCTCCTGAGTACCATTTTTATTTTGGACTCTCTGATGCCCAGGATTTTTGGTGGCAATTCGGCCACCTTTGGATAAGTTTGACATCTTCATAAAATTCCCATTAGCCCTACTGCAAAACAGTGTAAATGAGCCATCATCCAAATTCCCAAATCTATCCCTGGCCTTCACTCCTTACAATTTGACTGACAAGGTAGCCAGTAATACTATGTACCCAGAAGTTTGCAAATTAATGTCTTCTTCTGGCCCTCCCTCATTCTGTCAGAGACCCTCTCTCCCAAGCCCCAATTACCAAACTTCATCTGAAGCCTCATTTTCAATTCTCTTTTCACTAGAAGTTCCAAGTGTCTCCTAACCCAGCCTTTTCAAAACTGACCTACCCTCTGTAATCCCCAAATCTCCCTTTTCTCTCCACTCTGCCTCAAACCCTTCGCAGGGCCCACCTTCCTCAGATCCTCTTTTTCAGTACCCACATTCTACACTTGCATTGCAGCTCAGCCTCTCCTTCTGTGCCTCCCCGTCCACCCCCTTACACGCTCAGGCCCTATAACTAAGCACTCCATCTAATGGACCTTCTTACTTAGCCTCAATGTTTGCTTTCCGATACATTGGATTTATAGAGTGTTTGCCTGAATTAAAATGCGAAATTTTAGAGCAAACCAGGCTTCTCAGCTGCTAAGCTCCATCATGTACTTTAAATAAGGAGGAGGGGGAGTGTGTGTGGAGGGGTGCCTGATGCATTGACCTACCCCTGAATTACCATCTCGACCCAGGCTGCTCACCTTCCAACCCAGCTGGTGCCTACCTGGCCCTACTCACCTCCCCCAGCTAAATTAACAAAGCAGTTACTGCTCATCCGCAGAGCTCCCTCTAATCAACTCCCAGTGAAATAATATTTGCTTTCCATGCCTACTTTGAATCCCACTCACTTTGTTAAAAGATTGCCTCTGGCTGTCTCTGCTGGCCTAATCTAATAGTTTCTAGTTTGTACAAGCAAAGCGTTTTCAGCCACCTATATAAATAACTTAAGCAGGAGAGGACACTTGTACAGCCCCAGTGCAGGGCTATAGGACATGACAGATCCCACAATGACTCCTTGGCCAATCTCCTGGGGGAGCACCACCCGCTGAGTGGGAGCAATTACTGTACTCCATGAGGCTGACAGGACAGTCTGTCTGTCTATAGAAAGTCTGATGGGGGAAAACTATTCCCGTCTGTTTTCTCCAGTGCAGGTGACCATCCTAAGTGCCTCGGCCCCCTCTATACCCCTCCATACTGCCTGATCCATGGTCTCAGAGGGAGCCTGTTCAAAGTAGAAAAAGCGGAGAGGAACTAAATCAATCTATTAGTTTTCCTCTAAAAATTGTAATGCAATCAACTTTGCTTTTAAAAAATTGTGGTAAAATATACATAAAAGATTACCATAAAAGCTTACCATCTTAGCCCTTTTTAAGTGCACAATTCAGTAATGTTAAGTATATTCATAATGTTGTTCAGTCTCGCTCCAGAACATTTTTCCTCTTGCAAAACTGAAACTTTGTACCTGTTAAAATGACAGTTTCCCATTTTCCTCTCCCCCCAGCCCCTGAGAACCCCCATTTCACTTTCTGTCTCTATAAATTTAACTATTCTATGACTGCATAGAATAAGTCACACAGTCTTTGTCATTCTGTGACTGGCTAATTTCACTTAGCATAATGTCCTCCAGGGTCATCCATTTTGTCACAAATGGGGGATTTCCTTTCATTTTTCAGTTGAATAATATGCCACTGCATGTGTAGACCAATTTGAGCTTCTCATTCATCTGTTGATGGACACATGAGTTGCTTCTACCTTTTAGCTATTGTGAGTAATGCTGCTATGAACATGTGAACATGGCTGAACACATACATCTTTGAGACTCTGTTTTCAAATCTTTTGGATATATACCCAGAATTGAAATTTCTGAATCATATGGTAATTCTATTTTTAATTGTTTGAGGAACCACTGTATGGTTTTTCCATAGCAGCTGCACAATTTTACATTCCTACCAACAGTGCAAATGGGTTCCAGTTTCTCCACATTTTCTCCAACATTTGTTATTCTCCTCCTCCTCCTCCCTCCTCCTCCTCCTCCTGCTCCTCCTCCTCCTCCTCCTCCTCCTCTGCTGACTGATCAGGGTGATGGTTGCTGAAGGTTGGAGTGAGTGTGGCAATTCCTGAAAACAATGAAATTTGCTACATGAATTGACTCTTCCTTTCATGGAAGATTTCTTGGTAACATGTGACACTGTTTGGTAACATTTTACTCACAGTACAACTTCTTTTAAAAGTGAAGTCATTTCTCTCAAACCCTGCTGCTGCTTTATCAACTAAGTTTATGTAATATTCTAAATCTTTTTTTGTCATTTCAGCAATGTTCACAGCATCTATGCCAGAAGTAGTTTCCATCTCAAGAAATCACTTTATTTGTTCATCCATAAGAAGCAACTTACACATTCAAGTTTTATCGTGCTATTACAGCAATTCAAGTCACATCAGCATGCTTATATTCTAGTTATCTTGCTCTTTCTACTACATCTGCAGTTACTTTCCCCTATTGAAGCCTTGAACCTCTCAAAGTCATTTATGAAAGTTAGGATGAACTTCTTCCAAACTTCCATTAATGTTGATGTTTTGACCTCCACCATGAATCAGGAATGGAGATCTAGCATAGTGAATCCTCTCCAGAAGATTTTCAAATTACTTTGCCCAGATCTATCAGAGAAATCACTATCTGTGTCAACTACAGCTTTGCAAAATGTATTTCTTAAACAATAAGACTTCAAAGTCAAAATTACTCCTTGGTCTGTGTGCTGAAGAATGAAGGCATGAAAACAACATTAGCCTTGTGCATCTCCATCAAAGCTCTTGGGTGACTAAGTACATTGTCAATGAGCAGTGAGATTTTAAAAGGCATCTTTCTTTTTTCTGAACAGTAGGTCTCAAGAGTGGGCTTAAAATATTCAGTAAATCATGCTGTAAATAGCTGTGCTGTCATCCAGGCTTTGTTTTTCCATTATAGAACACAAGCAGAATAGATTTAACATAATTCTGAAGTCCTCTAGCATTTTCAGAATGGTAATGGGCATGTGGCTTCAACTTAAAGTCACCAGCTCCATTAGCCTCTTATAGGAAAGTCAGCCGTCCTCTGAAGCATTGAAGCCAGGCATTGACTTCTCCTCTCTGCTAATGAAAGTCCTAGATGGCACTTTGTTCTGATGTATTTTATCTACATGAAAAATCTGTTTTTTAATGCAGCCACCTTCATCAATTATATTTCCTAGATTTTCTGAATCACTTGATGTAGCTTCTACATCAGCTCTTGCTGCTTTGCCTTGCACTTTCATGTTGTGAAGACAGTTTCTTTCCTTAAACATCATGAACCACCTCTGCTAGCTTCAGTCTTTTCTTCTGAAGCTTCCTCCTCTCTCTTAGTCTTCCTAGAATTGAAGAGAGTTAGAGCCTTGCTCTGGATTAGGCTTTGGCTTAAGGAAAGGTTGTAGCTGGTTTGATCTTCTATCCAGCCCACCACAACTTTCTTCATTTCAGCAATAAGCCTGTTTTGCTTTCTTATCATTTCTGTGTTCATCGGAGTAGGACTTCTAATTTCCTTCAGGAATTTTTCCTTTGCATTCACAACTTGGCTAACCATTTGGCGAAGAGGCCTAGCATTTAGCCTAATTCAGCTTTGGACAGGACTTCTGCACTTAACAGTTAAATCATTTCTAGCTTTTGATTTAAAATGAGAGATCCTTCCTTTCACTTGAACACTTAGAGGCCATTTAGGGCTATCAATTGACCTAATTTCAATATTATTATGCCTCAAGGAATAGGAAGGCCTAAAGAAAGGAGAGAGAGAGAGAGAGAGAGAGAGAGAGAGATGGGGCAATGGTCAGTTAGTGGAGCAGTCAGAATACACACAACATTGGTCATTAAGTTCATATGGGTGTAGTTTTGTGCCCCCAAACAGTTACAATAGTAACATCAAAGATGTCTGATCACGGATCACCATAACAGATATAATAATAATGAAAAAGTTTGAAATATTGGAAGAATTACCAAAATGTGACACAGAGACACAAAATGAGTATATGCTGTGTAAAAATGGCTCTGGTATGTTTGCTCAATGTAGGGTTGCTACAAAACTTCAATTTGTAATGTAATAACATGAAGCACAATAAAATGAGGTATGCCTGTAATAATAATTGTAATAATATATTCCAGGAACTGTTCCAAGGATTTTGCATACCAACTTACTTTCAACAAAGTGGTGTTGGTTGCGTTTATTTAAACAGCACTGAAAACCACTTAAAATTGGATATTAGATAGTTGGGTCACATTTTCAAGAACTTTGCTTCATGCCTGGCAATTTTTCCTAGGTCTCTTCTTTTCTCTTATATTTTCCCCTCTCCATTCACCTGTCTCAGAGATTCCCAAAGTGCTGTTCACTTTTCATTGAGGGACTCTTAACCCTTTTTCATATATCACAGTCTTTTTTCAGCATCTTGCCTGAGGTCTTACCTTCCACATCTAAACCAAGATATCAAATAATCTGTCCTGGATCTCCCAATGTCCCCCTCCATAGGGAAACTCAGAGCCAGTGGGATGATGACAAATATTTCACTCTCCTTTTTATATATAAAAGCAAGGCATTAGGAGGCACATTTTCCAGGGTATACAACATGGAGTACAGGGTAAAAGTAGGGCCACAGGATTCCTGTGCTAAAAATGAGAAAGAAAACACTCAGCTTCTGAGAAATGGAGAGGGGTTAGGGAGAAGGAGAAGAATGCAGCAGGTATTGACTGCTCACAGTGTGCTCCGGGCTGTGCTGTACTTTATATGATAATTTTGCCTTCACAAAAACTCAACAAAGTTGGTACTATTATCCAAATAGCAGAGCTGAGTAAAATGAAGGTTACAGGAATTAAGCAACTTCCCCAAAGTCACACATTTTGCTAACAACAGACAACAGATTTTAAACGTCTGCTCTTTCCACTACATCACGCTATTATACTTTGTCTAGATACATATGAAAGAAAAGATTGTTTAAACGCTCAATGAGTTGACCTTAATTTGCTGTGGCTATCATTGTGACCTTTCAGTGGCAAACGCCAAGATCTCTTATTCTCTGTGTCTGACTCATATTTCCACGCACCCTCATCCTCATAGGAGCACGTGCAACAACTCTCCAATAGGACTTAATAGAAACAATTTTCAACAACGTTTTTACTAATTTCCCTTTTAAAAATCAATAAATGGTTAGTGATGCCATTAATAGAGTGAAAGCAGATTTCTCTCTATTATGAGAGTTCATATTTGTAGCATTTATCACACACACACACACACACACACACACACACACACACACCAGAAACAATAAAAATAAAGACAAAGAAACCACTGAGTTTATGAGACCCTAAATACTTGGATTGAAATTTTTGCAGCCCAAAGAGAGGGTAATGCAATAAAGAGTTCTGTCTCAGGGGTCAGAAAGTCATGAGTTCAAATTCCAGTGGCAAGTCTTCCCACCTTAAAGGATTGTATTGAAGATTAATGTGCCAGGGCATTAACAGCACTTAGCCCACGGTAGACAGGAGATGCTGTATCGGGGCTAGTCACAGATGCAGTTGAACTGGTCTCCTTCTGTGACACTTCCTTTTTGGAGGCCCAGGATGTCTCTCCCCTTCTATGCACTTCAATTCCATTCCTGACCTAAGTTATCCCACTGCTACCCTCTGCCTGGTCAGCAGCCAGCCTCTGGCCCTCATCCTTCCTCCTCCGGTTTGTGACTCACTAGGTGACTTCCGGAAAATCAGTTCCATTCTCTCAAGTTTAATATTCCTCTCCTTTCATATTTATTATACCATTGTCAGATGCGGCCCAGAAGTGATTTTTAAATGCCTAAAACTAGCTTCTGATCTTTCTGAAACAACCCCTGATTGAATATGAGCGACGTTTTTTCTTTCTTTCTTTCTTTCTTTTGAGATGAAATCTCACTCTGTCACCCAGGCTGGAGTGCAGTGATGGAATCTTGGCTCACTGTAAACTCTGCATCCTGGGTTCAAGCGATTCTCCTGCCTCAGCCTCCCAAGTAGCTGGGATTAAAGGTGTGCACCACCACACTCAGCTAATTTTTGTATTTTTAGTAGAGACAGGGTTTTACCATGTTGGCCAGGCTGGTCTCAAACTCCTGACCTCAAATAATCCGCCCACTTTGGCCTCCCAAAGAGCTGGGATTACAAACATGAGCCACCACACTTCGCCTAAATATGAGAGGCTTTAATTTTAATGATGAGCAAAGAAACACTTTTGGGGAGATTATTTTTGCAGCCTGGTTCTGGAGAAATGCATGGCTTCCAATGAGATTTCAGAAATACTGAGTATACAACAAATGTCAGAGGAATTTGAAGGGCCAAGTTATCCCTAGTAATAAAGAGCTTACTCAGCCACACCTGGAGAAGGCTGTGCAGATGTCAGAATTCGATCAAATAATATTATTACTGAATGATCAGAGACAGAGAGTTACTAGGCAAGAAGATCCAGGTGAGACCAGAGGCCACAAACTTTGAGGGACATGCACCACCCTGGAGCAGAGAAATAAATAAGAGACAAAGTCAGCCCCAGAGTAGAAGGGAGGAATGCAACAGTATTTACATTTTCTTGCTTGCTTTGATTAGAGTGAGGTCTGAGACTATCCCTCAGCAGTTTCCCTTCTGCTACCCTAAAATCAGGACAGAGTACTCCAGGAAACCTGGATCTAGGAAAGGATCTAGTAACCTCCAGACACATGCTGAATGAACCTCCTTCCCTGGCTCATTCCCCAGCAGTGAAGACACTTCTAAGTTAAAGTCTACATTCCCAGCTGGAAAAAGTCATGAGGTACCTGCCTTCTTCCCACTCAGAATCTACTATTTTATATGTGTGGGGGAAGGAAATGGGAAAATATCACCCCAGCCCTGCTGGGAGGGATGCTGAATCACTGAGCTCATGGGATGTACCCATATTAAAGAAAGTCAACTCCAGAAAACCACCACCAAGTGTTAGCAAGCCCCTGTTCCCCAGCAGTGCCACCCCAAATTTCTGGCATTTAAGAGCGCCTCCTTCTCCTATATCTTGGTTTCTATGGAAAAGAGTACCAACCTGCCAGATGCCTTTGGCAAGGGAAAAGGAAGAAAGAGGTGGACTCCTGGGGGGACAAACATGGGGAGGCTGGACCTTGGGTATTTGAAGGGCCACATGCAAATGTAATGCAAATGAAGTGGACCCATAAGAGAGAGGGTGCTGTTGAAGACTTGCTGTGCATGTGTTGGAGTGGCACCCAAACATTTCAGCCTCCCCTTCTTTCTATACCTGAACAAGTAGTTGGAGACAAGTAATTCCAGCAAGACTGTGCCATAGTTCTACTACATGTGGACTAGAGAAAGGAGAGGTTTCTCTTTTCTCAGAAAACTCAGGTCAGTGATTTACTCAAAGAATTATTAAGGAAACTTCTTGACCTGTCAGCTGATAGGGTACACTGAAAAGAGAAATCTTTCCATTCTATGCCTGAGCCCCTACCTGAATCCTTTCCCCCAAGAATTTGGGTTTTATTAAAATGATTTAGTCTATTTATTTATTTATTTATTTATTTATTTATTTATTTATTTTTGAGACGGAGTCTTGCTCTGTCACCAGGCTGGAGTACAGCGGCGTGATCTCAGCTCACTGCAACCTCCGCCTCCCAGGTTCAAGCAATTCTCCTGCCTCAGCCTCCTGAGTAGCTGGGACTACAGGTGCGTGCCACCATGCCCAGCTAATTTTTGTATTTTTAGTAGAGACGAGGTTTCACCGTTGGCCAGGATGATCTCAATCACTTGACCTCATGATCTGCCTGCCTCGGCCTCCCAAAGTGCTGGAATTACAGGCATGAGCCACCACACCTGGCCTAGCCTGCTATTTTATGAGCCCCTCTTATCACTCTCACTACCCTCTAGAACAGCAAGCACTGCGAGAAAGAACCCAGCCCCTGCTCCATGTCCTGAGTCAAGAACTGGCCGAGCTAAGACAAGACCAACACAGCTCTTGCCCTAGAGCTCACAGCATAAATGGAGGTGCTGACTCAATGGTCACATGGTCCAGTGAGGGTGACACTGGAGCTATGTATAAGGTATAAGGGAGGATATTTGAATGAGGCCATAAAGGAGTAACCATTTAGGTACCAGCAGAGGGGACAGTGGCAGCAGATGTCTGGATGTTTCAATAGAAGAGTTGACCCCTGACTTGAGTATTCAATGATGAGTGTCAGCCAAGCAGAAACAGAGGATTAGTATTTCAGATGAAGCAGAAATATGAGGGAATGACAGAACAGGCTGGGCACATGATGGGAATCCCCAGAAACCAGTCTGCCTAAGGCATGAGAGAGATGAAATTAGAAATGTCGCTGCAAGCTTGCTCACACAGGGCCTTTTAACCCAAGGAAAATGATGTGATTCTTGGGACAGTAAAGAGCCACTGACAGTTTTAGTAGCAGAAGAACCTGGTCAGAATACTTCATTTGTGGTTGGATAGGGACACATCTGGAGGCCAGGAGAACAATTAGGAAGGAACTGTTGGGTTCCAGGATAAAGATGTTTTGGGTCAGGAGCAAGAGGGTAGCTGTTATGTTGCAGATGAGGAGATGGGTGAAGAAATGTGAGAAAGAAAAGAGGGGGATCAGTGATTGCTTTGGTATGGAGCTGAAGATGAGAGGAAGTTGATGGTGACTTCCAGATTTCTAACTTGGGAGAAAGGAAGGGACATGGGTTCAGGCAAAGAAGGAAAAAATCAAGAAATCATCATTATAGTGTCAAGTATTCCTTCTGCCACTCCTTCTCTTCCTCAATCTCTGTCTCCCTCCACACCAGTCTCTTCGCAGGGCTCCAGCCTGTGTGAGGGGCTCTGAATGCTGGTGCTTGCATAACTGATGAGGATGAGTTAAAGGCAGCTTCTAGCTGAGATAGCTCCAGCTGTGGCCACAGAGACTAATAGGATTGCCCAGAAGGGAGAAGCTCCAGTGAATGGAGGAAATTCTGCATGCAGTCTCTCTGACTTTCAGAATCTTCTGGTCCAGAAGTCCTTCTGTCAGGTGGCCTTGGCATGTGACCAGCCAACCAAGAGCACAGAGATCCCAAGGTTTCCAGAAATCACAAGAAACATCCAAGAAACAATTCTAGAGAAGTCTGTGGATTACTGTTCTAGCAGTCAGGTCCAGAAGTTGGCTACAAGAGACGAGAATTGGAAGAGGGAAAATTCCTCACCATCAAGCCAACGTCATAATCCTGAGGACATGAGCACAGCAAGGAATGACACCTTCCTCTAGGATCACTTAAAGGATCTCAGTGTCACTGAGCTGACCACAGTGTCCTTGGGTGGAAAGAATGGATGTTGTGTAGCACTTTGGAGTCAGCAGTTTTTATACATATGTGTATATATATATATATATATATATATATATATATTTTTTTTTTTTTTTTGAGATGGAGTTACCTAGGCTGGAGGTGCAATGGTGTGATCTCAGCTCACTGCAACCTCCACTCCCAGGTTCAAGTGATTCTCCTGCCTCAGCCTCCTGAGTAGCTGGGATTACAGGTGCCTGCCCCTACACCCAGCTAATTTTTTGTATTTTTAGTACAGACGGGGTTTCACTATATTGGCCAGGATGGTCTTGAACTCCTGACCTCAGGTGATCCGCCTGCTTTGGCCTCCCATAGTGCTGGGATTACAGGTGTGAGCCACTGTGCCCCCTCAGCAGTATATATTTTTTAAATCTCATTTCAGACTAGCTCTGTGACTTTAAGCAAGTTGCTTTTCCTTTCTAGGACTAATTGTTTTTACATCTGCAAACTGGTGATGATGATCTCTATTTCACAGAGCAAAGGGTAGGTGAAATGACAATACAAGGTCTGGTCAATATTAGATGCTTAGTAATTATTCATTCAATCATTCATGCATAACATACTTATTGATTTCTTCTACATGCCAGACACTGTGCTTGGTGCTTGGGAACAAAACAGAGAAATATTTTCACCTAAGTAGAGCTTTATTCTAACATCTATATGTAGGGGAGGACGGAAGAAAGACAACATTCAATAAGGCATAGTATGTAAATTATTTAGTTTGTTAGAAAATAGTAACTGCTATAAAGTAAAGGAAAAGTCAAGCAAGGTAGGGGAAAGGGCAGCAGGAGTGACCTTGAACAAGTCACTTTATTTGCCTGAAGGTTTTACTTCACGTGTAAGTCAAACACAACAATACCTACCTCACAAGGCTATTGTGCAGAATAAGTGAGTGCAAGTCACCTAAAATTGTACCTAGGCCTTTATAGATGCTCAATAGTAATAGTTATATCATCGTCACCATTATCATCATGAGGTTGCAATAATAATTGGGCAAATCAGAACTCATTTAGAAGGGGCCATTTGAGCAAAACTGGAAAATGATGAGGGAGCCATGGGGTGTACGGTGTGCATCCCAGGCATGGGACCACTCAATGTCAAGGCCCTAAGACAGGAGCAGGGATTTCAGGAAAGCTGTGCCACCTGACTCCACCGGGGAGATCAGAAGGGGCTCAGAAAAGCATCCCCTCTGAAAGAAGCTGAGAAAGGGGAAGAAGCAGTTGGAGGTTGGGTGGCCCCAAGAGAAAAAGAACTTTGGAGAACTAGGCTGTTGCTGAAGCAACAAAAATAGAAACATGGAAATTTCTCCCAGCTGCTGTGAACTGACCCTGGAACTTAGAGCCAAACTGGTGGTCATAAAGTCAGCTTCAAGTTTGTGTGCCTGGGTTTCTGCATCCTTCGTGACCATGTGCATCTTTGTGTACAACTGCATCTATTTGTTATATTTTGTGTTTGTGGGAATAGGACTGTGTCTCTGACACATGCGTGTGTGTGTGTATGGTAATTTGGAACGAGAAAATTCTCCTCTTTCTAAAGCGATGTACATACAATAGAGGAAGTAGAGACAGAGTCATCATGCTTCATTTCATATCCATACTTGACTTTCAACATTGAAGTTACTTACCTTTGAGGGCCTTAAGCTTTATCCCACCATCCTCTCACAGGTGCAATACTTGTCAAATGTCTAAATGCACCACAGCCTCAGGCCTGCCCGAAATTTAGTCATATGAGATGACATTTATGGGGCATTGAGGATAACGATATCACCCATTCTCTCAAACATTGTATTGTTGTGTATCTACAGTGCCAGACCCCAGGGTTAGATTCTGGGAATATAAAAACAAGGGGCCATTGAAGGTTATAGGCTTTGGAAACACGTTGGAGTTTGAGTTTCAGCTAATTCCCGTTACTGCTTGTGTGACCGTGAGCAAGTCACCTTATTTTTTTAAGGGTTTTGCTTCATCTGCAAATCATATACAGCAATACCCACCTCCCATGGGCTATTGTGGAGAATAAACGAGTACAAATCACCTGCAAGGTAACTAAACCCTGATAGATGCTCAAGAGTAATACTGAAGATCATCATGGTCATCACCATTTCCATCACTACTGACCAAAGTTTCTGCCCTCACATGGCATGCATATTGGCCGAAATTACAATTCCACTGCCTTGGTCTCTGATCCTAGATCTTTCCATGGCTTGTTATCTAGCTTCGTTTAGGCTATTATTCATAAAACCTTCTTCAGAAAAGTTTCCCTGACCATCCACCCGCTTTTATTTCTTCACTGCACAAATCGTTTCCTGTAATTCTGTTATATGTATTGTTTTTGCTTACCTGTTTATTTGTCTCCTTCAGTCAAGTATGCTTCATGGAAGAACAGTGACCTTATCTCTCTAGTTTGCTCTAGAATCAGATGTGAACTTTATCTTCAGTATCTAGGACAGTATCTGGTACAAGAAGGTGTTCAATCGGCATGTGTTGAATGAATGAGTCTATGAATGAATTAGTTAACCTGATTTGTGCCATTACAGAGCCCCAGAAAAAAATGCAACTAACTCTGCTGAAACCAAAGTATTCCTGTAGAAAGCTTTACAGAGCAGAGAGCATTTGATCAGGGAGACTGGCAAGGGTTCTCCGGCAAATGCATGAAGGGGCATGATCATAGCTACTAATTGTGACTGTATCTTGTGAAACAAACCAAGATCATCAATCGTGTTCCCCGTCTCCCTGGAGAACACTGCTGAACCTTAACACATGCCCTGGGAGTGTGTGGAAAAGAAGAAAAACCCCAAATTTCTGACTATGCATAATCCCCTTCAGTCTTCCAGAAGCATAGGTCCAAACTTCATTTGCATATAAATGGTCATAATTTTTTAATCATAGATAAATTCCATTCTGTTTGCTTGTCCTTTTGCCTTCCTTGATAGAGAAACAAGAGTGACTTATGATTCATGAGGAACAGCAATTAAAACACATATACATACAACACTTCCTTACTTCTTGCATCTCTTTTCACTCCTTCTCCCTCCCTGAGTGTCAGAAAATGCCATCTTGATTGAGAGGTAGTGGTTACACAGTGGATTCCCATGGTTTCTTTCCAAATCCTAGGTTCTTCACTCACTTTCTATGCAATTGCGGACAAGTCACTTCACCTTTCTAAACCCCAGCCTCATCATTCATAATGAGTAAAACATAAAATCATGAAGGTTTTTTGCATAGGCTAAAAGAACTGGTGCACCTAAAATACTAACATAAAGCAAGTTCTCAAAATGAAAGTTATTATCATTTTATTAGTATCATCATATTGTATGAAAATACATAGAGATGACTCATTTCAAATCAGCAAGAGAAACCCAAGGTCTTACTCTCAGCAGAGAAGAGAGAGAAATAAAGCTACTATATAGGAATGTTGATACAGATTATACCTAGATGGTGATCATATTGAGAAACTCTGTATTTCATCTCAGAGAGATCTTAAATTGGAAAATAGTATAGGTACCACTCAAGAGAAGATCTGGTCCCTGAACCTTACTAATATCTGACATTAGGAAGTAGACCAGCACGACAAAAATCAGTCATCATCGGACAGAGATCTATTTGATACTTATTTTAAAGACAACTGTGTTGGTTTCTGTTTCAAGCCCTTTACTCTTGTTCTGAGATCATCTGTGGGAGAGAAAGGGCAAAGTGCAAGTGGGGGTGGAAGTGACACGTATCAGGTCCTCCTGCAGGTGTTTTCTTGCTTTATCTCATCCGATTTTCACACTGCCCTCTGAGACAAGATTTATTATCCCAATTTGCAGATGAGGAATTTGAGGCTTAACAGGGTTAAGTAATTTGCTCACATCTGCTGAAGGAAAGCCTAGACTTGCAGTCAGGCATCCAGAATACTTTCATTTATAACACACATCCTGTTTTACATGGATATTGAAGATGTGGGATTATTTTTTAGCCCCAGTTTGTGGACATCTCTTGCCAGAGTTATTTTCCTAAGAACCTAGAATCATTTGTTTGACTGTATATCAGGCTTCTGTGGATGCAAAGCCCACTAGCACCATGCACTCAACATTTCCAAAACTAAACCCAACATCTGCCCACTCCCTCATTTCCACGATCTCTCTTCCCAGAGATCTACTCCTTTTACACTTTTTTCCAAATAATTGTCTTTCCCCATGCATCACTCTAGACTGCTTCTTCAACTCACCTCCCATCATCACATAAGTCAGTAAGTCTTATCTAATATTCCTTTGAAGATATGTCAAGTCCACCCCACCAGCTCCAGCTCCAGCTTCACTATTAAGTCAATTTATATCTCACTTGAAGCAGGTAGCTGTAGCCTCCTCTCTGGTGTCCTTGTCCTGGTATTTATCACTCTAGCCCATCCTTTTGGTTCGGCCAAGTTTATTGTCTTAAAAACAAATGTAATCATTGTGCCACTCCTCTGCTGCTTCAAAACCTTTGAGGACTCCCTTCTGTCTACATGTTGAAGATCAAACACCTTAGCAAGTCACCTGCAATATAACTCAACATTATGCTTTTGTCTCATCTCTTACCAGCCCCCATGGAAATGCCTAATTATTCCTCTGAAATGCATTGCATGTTTATTCTCTTGTATTTTTCCCATTTTAAGGAAAATCCTACTCTGATTTCTTGTCTGTTAACAACTACTTAATCTCCAAAGCCTACAGTGAATGTCCTGTCAATCTCACCAAACTTCCCCAGACAAACTCAGCTCCCTCCCTTGTCAGTACTTCATGCACACTGCTATCATTGGCCCTACCCTGTGATCATTTTTACACACACCTGCCTCCCTCAGTATAGCAGGAGCTTCTCAGAGATAAATATTTTTTTTTCACATTTTTCTTCGTCTCCTTAGTATCTAGCCTGAGAAGTTTCCGACAGTGAGAATTATAATGCAGGTATCATTTTGCATGTTAACACTAACATATCATAAACATGTTCCCACCGAGCTACTCAGTCTTCCTAATTATCCTTTTAATTGCTACATAATATTTCTTCCTGTTTATGTTCTATAATTACCTAAACATTCAATTCAAGTCATTAAATTCAACAAAAATTTCTAAGTACTTAATATGCGGCAGGTACCATGCTAGATGCTGGAGACACCAAGAGGAGGAAGACATGACCTCTTCCCTGCAAAGACTGTGCATTCCAGTGATCATGTGATAAGGGCTATGATAGAGATATATCAATGAATGGATTGGGAACACTGGGTAGGGGGAGTTTTATTTTTCCTGAAGAAGTTGAAGAACATAAATTTATAGGTGATATTTTCTTTGAGTTTTAAAAGTTGAATACAAACCTAAGAGAACTGGTAAGAAAGCAAAGAGGGAGGGTGAGAGAAAAGATAAATTACTAAGACCTCACAGTTTTTAAGGGGTCAGAGCTAGGATTTCAATACAAACGGTTTGATTCTAGGACCCCACTGTTATCCCTTATCTGCTGGTAAATTCCTACCCACCCAACAATGCTTTGCTTCAACCAGCTCCACACTCTTTCTCAGTTGTTATTTATTTATTTATTTATTTATTTTGCTACAGAGTCTCACTCTGTTGCCCAGGCTGGAGTGCAGTGGCGTGATCTCAGCTCACTCCATCTCCCAGGTTCCAGCGATTCTCCTGCTTCAGTCTCTCGAGTAGCTGGACTACAGGTGCACGCTACCATGCCAAACTAATTTTTTTGTGCCACCACGCCAAACTAAATTTTTGCATTTTTAGTAGAGACGGGGTTTCACCATGTTGGCCAGGCTGATCTCGAACTCCTTTCCTCAGGTGATCCACCCACCTCGGTCTCCCAAAGTGTTGGGATTACAGGCGTGAGCCACCGTGCCCAGCCTCAGTTCTCTTTTTATTCAGCCCTTATGTGTTGCACAGAGCTGGGGCGTGCTAGCAAATTTTCTCCAACCCACATTTTCGTTAAGTTTGATAACTAGAATTTTGCAAAGTATTTTTTTTGAGTTTTACAAAATGAGCTCACTAATATGATGCATTCTCATCCTTTGTTCCTGTTTTCTATAAGAATTGCAATGTTACCAAGGAAACAAGATTCTAGAGCAAATTCCTGATAAATGTTAGGTTCTCAAAAGATAAATGAAAAAATGATCAACCAATGGCTAAATGTATGAGTTTGGCTGTGTGGAAAGTAGAGAAGAATTAGTAGAATGTGAAAGGCTCATGTATAATGTACTTAAGGCGTAATGTAGGTTACATTATGACACTTGCAGAAGTAAAACAATAACAAGAATAACAAAAACAATAATAACAATAAACAGATACCCAAATTAGTATCTTGGTACCTTATCAGAAGCATTCCTGCTTGTGGAATCAGAAGATCAAAGAGTATTAAGAGCTATGATATCATCCCTACCCTGTGACACACTATTTAATCTAAGAAACCATTTAAAAAGGGGAAAACAGCAGATATTATATGGACCACCTTCTATATTATTAAAAGTCTGGAAACAATCTAAAATGTCCACCAATAGGGAGTGGTTAAATAAATTACAATATGTGAACTGGAAGGAGTATTATAAAGTCATTAAAATGGTAATTAGAAAGATTATGTAGCCACATGGAAAAACATTTGCTGTGTAGTATTAAGGGGGTGGGGGAAGCTGAATACAAAATTGAAGCTAGGCCATCAATGCAGTTATGGAAAATGTATGCACATGAATTAAGACACCAGGGGAAGAGGCATGCATGTGACCAGCTGTTCTATACTGGCGTATTTTTTCTTTGAAACATGTCCTTTAATTTGCTATGATGTGTATTTTCTGGCCTAGCGTATGCTCTCCAGCCTCTAGGGGGAGCTCAAGGCTTCCCCTACTCAAGCCTCTTCTATCCAACCCCGGGAAGATAGAGGAGGTCTCCAGGAGCCTGAGGCATAGTGAGGTACCCAGGGCTGGGCGGCCATGGGGGCCTTAAAGCTATTATGAACAGAACAGAACTGAAGCAAATTTTCCCTCGGCCTTTTCTCCTGCTCCTTTCTGTGTATAGTCCTTGACCCCTCTTTTAGAATCAGTTGCTTTCTTGGCGTTTTCCTCTTCAGTGCATGTACATATTTCTGTTGCTACTGTCCTTGTCCGCTACATTAAGAAGGATCTAGACAGTCTTTCATCTGGGATGCAAAGATCGCTCATAGCCTACTTTTTTAAGAAAAGCAGAAATTATTCTATATATTTATTTGCACAAGCAAAATAATAATAATAAAGATATATTTTTATGGTCTCATAATTTCTAATTTATTTTTTTAAAAAGGAAGCTACCTAAGTTTCCATCAATAGCATACTGGTTAAATAAGTTAAGGTACATCTTTGTAATTAAATACTAGGAAGATATTTTAAAAATAAAACATGCATATGGATTGATAAAGTTCTTCAAAATATAGTGTTCAGAAGAGAGAAAGGCAAGATGCAAAATAACCTCTCTCTCTCTCTCTGTGTGTGTGTGTGTGTGTGAATAAATTATCCAAATGATCATAATGAGAAACATTTGTCTACATATGCTAGAGTGGATAAGTACTTAATATGTAATAATATGTGAGAAAATGATAAAAAACAGTTACCTAAGTGGAATAAAAACTGAGGGAATGACACAAACTTTTGCTTTTTACCCCATATTATATTATTTTATTTATTTTCCCTGTGTACATATTAGTTTTTTATTTTTTTTAAAATGGGATTAGGGTAGGACCTAAGGGTAAGGAGGCTGAGATAGGTGACTCTGAATCAGCAGATTCTTTATCTCCCAAATATATCACAGTGAGCTGGGCTAGAATATGTGTGTGTGTGTGTGTGTGTGTGTGTGTGTGTGTGTGTGTGTGGGTGTGTATGTATATGAAATCAGATAGGGATTTGGGCCCAAACTAGAACATGCACCTACCACTACTAGCACTATTATTTATACTACTACTAATAAAGTAACAGCAATAAATTTAAAACAATAAATGTATTTAATACTGATAATAAATTAATGTAAAGCAAAAGAAACAAGTATTTAAGGTTGAATACTTAAACTAAAATGTGTAAAATACTTTACTGCTTTTTTTAATTGTGAAAGGAGAAATTTCACAAACAAGTCCATTTTAACCAAGTTGCATTTTGACCATTACAAAGGAAATGGAAAGTCCATTTAAAGTAGGACAGGGCTAGTCCCTGCTTGTGGTTTCATATTGGCTTCCTAATAAACTGTGACCCATTACAAATGAGATTGAGCTGGCTTTGTGCTTTGAAATTTTTTTTCTCAAATGTCTGGTCTCCTTAGATTTTTGAGCCCTGTTTTGCTTTTGCTGTCCATGAGGTTTTGAAGTTCATTGATTTTGCTGTTTTAAAATATTGCTTCTGAATGGGGGTGCTTGGGGAGTGAGGACTGACTATGGAAGCCAAAGGCAGAGAGATGAGTGCAGAGACATTTACAGTCAAGGCCAGAGTCCTGATGTGGCCTTGCCCTAAAGCTGTGCCCAGCCTAATCTCTTTTCCATGTGTAGCCTCACTGGGGAACTGTAGCATCTCAGGCTTTCTGAGGAAGCAGACACTACAATGAGAACCCAAATCCTATTCTTCCAGCAGAGCTCAATCATTAGAAGAAAATGGAATGTGGAAAGCATGTCACATACCTAACAGGGATGCTTTGCTTAGGCAGCCACAGCCAAAAGAGTCACATCTTCACATCAGTTTCTCTCCTGCATGTGTGGCCCAGGAGTTGCTACTCAATACCACCCCTGGAGAAGAGCATGGCATGGAACCAGAGCTAATCTAGGGCTTTCATTTCTTTATTGCCTGCAGATTCCTTCCCTACCCAGGCCTGAGACAGAGTCTGTAGGGATGGAATACAGATGTGAGGGCAAGGGCTCCCATATCCTGGTATACAAAGCTCAGCCTGATGGTCTACATACCATTACTACTCAGTGGTTCCCAGGGCTCCCTCCATAGATGCCCTGACAAATGGTTTAGTGTAGAGTGATGAATGGTGACATTCCTGTCCACTGGGTTGGTGTTTGAATCTCTTTGGTCAAAAACAAAGTTGGTTCTAGCCATATACCAGAAGTCTTCATCCTTCAAGATTTCTTATTTGGAATTTAGACCATCTCTTGTCATAAAATTTACACTATTACAAAAGAGGGGTTAGAACCACAGTACAACCCAGAAAAGCAGTTTGAGTTACCATATTTTATAAATGCATAGCTAGGCATAAACTGCAAGCCTGCAATCAAACAGCCAGCTTCAGAAGCTCTAATAATCCCTGTGGTCTAGAACAAAATATTGAATTTTAATGTTCCTTCTGCAAAAATGGGGTTAGTAACATCAACCCTCTGAAACCACTGAGGCAATTAAATCAGTGGATGTACGCGAAAGTGCTTGGCCTAGTGCTGGGGGATTGTATTTGAAGTATACTTCCCTGTTGCTTCCAAAAATTCCTAATATACTGAAATGTCATACATACGTTTAACTCTAGCTGCTTCTTAAGTCACCAACAAAAAGACAGTGTTAAGAACAACTTTTTGTGCTTGAACCAATTTGCCATAAGTAACATCTTGCAAGCCCCCAGTGCCAACTGACTTATCACTAAGCTCATCCCAGATGAGACTTTGCAAATCTCTATTTATAAAATGAATACCTTGCTGCTAACTTATATTGGGAGGGAATTTCACTTGCCTTCAAATAAATATGCTGTCAGTAATTGCTGTATTTCCATTTCCATCATTCTGCAAGTCTCTAGCCAAAAGGTCACATGCTAACTTGGTACGTATGTATATATGTTGGGTAGAATACTTGCTCCAGATGATACTAGCACTGGATCTTGGGGCATTTATCCGATGTCTCTGAGCCTCAATTTTCTTACATGAAGAATAACAGTTACTATATTTACTGCAAAGTTCTGTTGAAAGATTAAATCATATGATGCATATACACGCCTGGGCCATATGGCAATTATTACTGTTGTTCTTGTTATCTACGACTTCATGAGACTTTATTTTCAGCATCATGAAAGATGTGACTGACTCCTACTTCTGTTTGATCATTCTCCTTTCCCATCCATACCAAAATGAATAGAATAATAAAATTACGAACATTTAAGGTAGATCTTTAAACCAGTGCAATATCCAACACAGAGCATTGCATGTAGTAGAATTAATGAACATTTGATGACAAGTTGAGTAAATAAAACAGTCCATACACCCCTCAGGGTTTTCAGTCTTTTCTAGAACATCATTAACAAGCAGTCTTCAGACCTATGTCTGAATATCCCCAGCCTCCAGAAACTTAAAACTACTTCAATTGCATTTATAGTGGGTTTACCAAATGTGTGACTTGTGAAGCCATCTTCTAACCCTACACCTACGGCAGTTTACACGCATTGATAAGGGCACCAAAACAGGATCACAGAATCCTTAGCTCCAGCTAGATTACCAAAAAAAAATCAGAGTACTCTTCATATTAGAGAAGTCTGTCTTTCAGTGAGTCATCATCTATTTCTTTCTACTTCTTTTCTTGTGGCCCTAAAAGCCAGACAGAAATAGTCTGATTGTTCTCCTGCATGAGGTTGCTTCAGAGAGCTGCAGGCAGCTTCTCAGTGTTTCAGATCCACCTTCAGCAGGAAATATTCTTCTGCAACCACCACACACATATTCCAGAGATGTGAATAAGAAATAGGGGAGTTCTTCACAATTTGTTCATGAAGAGGGAAAAGGAGAGGCCTCTTGGTCTCTGAGCTATTATTAAAATAAATATCATTGGCTAAAAGGCCAGAAAAAGTTTCGGGACCACACAGGCAACTGACACTTTTCCAACTCTACCATATCATCACTAATTGGATATGCTAACACTTTCTGTAGCATTTCATAAAAAATGTTTCAAGACCAAGTGATAAGATGTCTAAACAAGCTTGTCTTTGGATGCTTGCTCTGGTTAGTTCTGAGGAAATACCTACAACAAAATAGCAAAGGATTTTTCTCTCCTCTAGTCCCAGGTGGGTAATTTTCTCTCCCCACCCCTTCTCTCAGTGTGTGTGTGTGTGTGTGTGTGTGTGTGTGTGTGTGTGTGTCTCCCTGCCCCTCAATGGGAACACAGTCAGATTTTGCTATACTTCAGAATCATGAAACCTCTTGAAATAGCCATAGTTCAGGGCTGAAGTGTCAAATCCAGAGAGCTTCACTTGAATTTTCCTTGGATTGAACACTTCCCCAGAGAGATACAAAATTACAAAGATCATGTTTTGTGGATTTACTTCAGGTTCAGTCAGAATGTGTTGTAAAAGGTTAAACTTATTTTTTAATAGCAACAGTACCCATCTTTCAGAGTCCAGAGACACCCTCTATTTCTGCCTCAAGATTTGCCTTCTTGAGGCAGAAATAGAGGGTGTCTCTGGACTTCTGAAAGATAGATACTATTGCTATCTGTAGGATCATATTTTCAGAAAGAAGTCATATTGGCTCAAATTTGCAAAAACACAATAGGCATTTTAATGAAATTGCTGAAGAAAAAATAAAAGGTGCCTACATGTTTTGTCTACATCAAATTATGTGCTCTGCTCTGGAAAACTCAGGTTTCTTGCCTATAAAAGAGAAACCGTCTATTGCATTTATTGTCCCATCAACCTCATCTTACCTATCTAAGGAGATAAACAGCCAATGCTTACACCTTCCATAGCTACTCAAAGCACTTGGCCTTGAAAAGTTGCTGTATTCATTTCCTGTTTCTGCTCCTACAAATTAATGCAAACTTCATGGCTTAAAGCAACATAACTTGATTATTTTACTGCTCTGGAGGTCAGAAGCCTGAAATGGATCTCACATGGCTAACACCACGGTGTCAGTAGTGCTGCATTTCTTCTAGAAGTTTTAAGGGAGAATTGAGTTTGTTGCCTATTCCAGCATCTAGAGATCTCCTATATTCCTTGGCTTGAGACCCCTTTCTTCATCTTCAAAGCCAACAGAACAGCATCTCCAGGTGCTGCTGTGTAACCTCCTTCTTCCACTTATAAGGACCCTTGAGAATATGTTGGACCCACTGTGATAATCCAGGGAAATCTTTCATCTCAAGATTCTTAATCACCTCTGCAATGTCTCTTTGACCATGTAAGATAATATACTCAGATATATTTTGGGGACGGGTTTTGGGGACTGAGACATGGACAACATTGAAGGACAGCATTGCTACAAATGCTAACGTAAGATCATGGGCTGGACCTAGATTTAGAAAATAAGGCAGGCAGATGAAGGAGAGAGAGCCTTTGGCACTGGTGAAGAACTTGCCTTTTGCCTGGCTCCTTATTTTGTCATCATAGAGTCCAAGTAAAGTGGGGAGAGGAGTCCCATGTCTAAGATATGGAAACTGAAATTGAGAGAGTTTGCATGGTATTTCCGAGACTCACAGTTATTCCAAGGAGATCAAAATCGAAGCTCTTTCCATAGCACTATGCCCCTGGCTACACCACAAATATTACATGGCAGATGTGTTTAGCAAGGTTTTATGATGCAGAGCCAGGGCTCTGCACAAATATTAACTTACAGTTGGTGACTTCTCACAGCTAAAGGTTATTCCTCAAAGGTGAAACTTACTTCATGAAATAGCTTTTTTCTTTAGTGGGAAGTAAGCAAAAACATTTTTGTATTTTTGGCTGAGCCAAAAGAAATGCTGTTTCGAAAGAGTAAGTAGTTTTCACCTGTGCACACTATATTACATTTCAGTACTTTAGAGGTGGTTTTTAAGGAATATCCAAAAAAATCAAAAGGTAAAACGTTTTCTATATGGAAAATTATTTTAAATCTTTTAAATAAGAGGTTAGTCAGGGGTGAGAGAAGGAGTGTAGAGTTAAATAACTGGTATCCTATTCCCCGTGCCTTGTGTTTCTGAGCCAAATTGTATTGAGTTTTAAAAGAAAGAGTCTTGGCATTTCCACAAAATTTGGGAGAAGGGAAAAACATCTCATAGAAATGCTGCTAGAATAAATCATACTTGGAGACTTCTGGCCAGAGAGAGCAGCCTTCTCCATCCACCCCAAATTAGGCTAAGAGGTTTTCTTTGAAATAAAATGGACCTTTGAAATTCTGAATTATTAGAGTAACTCAAACTACATATTTAGAATTCTGAGTAAGGCCAACAATCATTTCAGGCTTTTTTTTTTTTCATTTTTCTGTTATACAATATGGTCTTCTGCATCATTCTGGGAAGAGGCGTGGTAGATGACATTTTATAAAAACTTATTTTGCTTTAAAAGCTTTACATTTTGTTTCAATGCCAAATTCAAATTTGAGCATCTGAGAAAAGCATCTCACTTCTGAAAGTTATTGATGATTTTACAAATAAGTCAATATTTCACTGATTTCAATAATAAGGCTGAAAGTTTGATTACCACCTGGCCCATTTGCTACACAACATTCAGCTTATTCAAAGGCCAAATACAAATCTCATTAATAAGGAAGAATGCATATTTTAGGTGAACTATTTTAGGTAGAATAAACTTACGAAAGCGTTAGAAAGATTAAACCTGAGGAGCTTATGATCACAATCTATAATGGGAAGGAAGAAAGAGAAATTAACATTTTAAAAGTATCTTCTAATTTCTCTTATTATTTCTGTGATCCTTACAATAATGCTTTGAGATAGATAAAAATAACCCTTTACCTAAAGAAAGTGAGGCTAAGAAAGCTTAAGTGACTTTTCCAAAGACACTTTTGTAAGGAGATGGTCAACTTTAGAAGACCTCAGCTTCCAAAAATATCAAGAGATATTTTTCACTGCCCCTAGCACAAATATATTCACTCTACCCTCATCAGAGATGTGAGGTTAAAATCCATGTAAGTACAAAAGCCTTTTATCAGTTTCTTTACTTGTTACATTGGAATATTCCATTTGAATCAGGTATGTTTCCAGGCTGGACGTGAAGTGATGTGAAAATACAGTGATCCGCAGGTCACCTATGCAAGGGTTCACCACTCAGCTGGTAGTTAAAATGCTGTCACTCTCAAATCTTGTTTGGCTTTCCCACATGTACCCATGGTTTCTCCAACACTCTCAGATGTTCCATCCCTAGCATTTGAATTAATATGTTCAAATTGATTGGCCATATGTAATGATCAATTTAGTTAATGTCGAGAACACCAACTAAGAGATTATTTCTATCTGGTGCCAGGTCCACCTTTGTGCATGCTGATAGAAACAAGGAAGGTCCTTCTGTAGAGAGAAAGTAGATCCCAGAATCAGAAACCAGGAATGCACATTCCTACATTCCTTATCCTTAGAGATCAATGCTATCTCTTATCATATACATATTAAACTACAATGCATTAGTATTAGGTTATTATGCATAAATAAACTATATATTTTTAAATTAATTACACTTTTTAAAATCTCTTTAAGCCATATTATACATATAGACAGTGTATTAATTTGTTTGGGCTGCCATAACAAAATACCAGACTAAGTGGCTTAAACAATAACTTTTTTTTTTTTTTTAACAATTTTGGGGGATAAAAGTCCAAGATCAAGTTACCCTCAAGGCTGACTTCTTGTGAGGCCACTGTTTCTGGCTTATAGGCAACCATTTCACCTCTGTGTCCCCACATGGCTTGTCCTCTCTGCATGTGAAGAGAGAGAGAGAGAGATCTTTGGTATTTCTTCCTCTTCTTACAAAGCTACCAGTCCTATTGGGTTAGGGCTCCACCTTTATGATTTAATTTAACCTTAATTACGTCCTTAAAGACCTTACCTTCAGTCACATTGAGGGTTAGGACTTCAACATACAAATTGACAAATTTCTGGGCTGGCGGGGGGAACAATTCGATCCATGATAGATAGATAGATAGATAGATAGATAGATAGATAGATAGATAGATAGATAGATAGATACATAGATACATAGATAACTAATCCTTATTTGGCTAGCTAGGATGGATGTCCTCCTACAAAATTTGCTCCATGACATTAACTCTGTTGCCTGGACATTTTACTTTAAAGGGTACGTGAGATGTGACTAATAACCCCTATTTCTTGGAGTTGTTATGAAGATAAATAAATGTATTTAAATTACTTTTTTCTGGCTGATTGCTACTAATAATTATGATTCAGGTAAAGTATCACCTCTTCCAATAAATGTATCTTGGTTCTTGCCCCTGCTAAACTGGAAAAAGCACCTTTTCTTGTCTTTTTTATTTTTTTTGAGACAGAGTCTCACTCTGTCACCCAGGCTGGAGTGCAGTGGTACAGTGATGCTGTTTTGGCTTACTTCAGCCTCCACCTCCCGTGTTCAAGCAACTGTCCTGCCTCAGCCTCCCGAGTAGCTGGGATTACAGCCACGTGCCACCATGCCCAGCTACAAAGCACCTTTTCTGTGAACCCTTCCTCAATGTTTACACTACATCATACATCAATTATATCATTAAACTATAAGCTCTTTGAAAGCAGGAATAGAATGTAATTAATCTCCAGCTCTTCAGCAATCGTTACAATCTCTAGCACACCATCCATATTGAATGAATAAATGCAAAATACCTAGTACTGTACCTAGAATGTAATATTAATGCAATTTTATGTTCAGAAAGCACTAAAAATTCAGTAAGCATTAACTACTAAAAATATTTTAGTTACTTAAAGTTATAGAAGGTTTAAAAATGATTAAAACAGTGGGTGTGATGAATCTTATGTTTCACTTTTATAATGACTTGTTATTTTTGAAATTCACAGCTTGGATAGTAAAAGAAATGAGAGAGTTTCAGTTCCAGTACTTTCCAGGCTCTACCACAACATTGCCTAATGCAGAATTCATTTCAGACAATTCTCCTTTTCGAGAGTTTTCTTGACCACCCCCCCCCCCAAAAAAAGTAAAGGTTATTTTTTCCTATTGTCACTGCTTACTAGTCTTGAAACATTAAACATTATTTTTGGAAATTTAAATGGGAGGTTTTGGCCCACAGAGGCAATGTCCGCTGTCCAGCAGGACTGGCTCCAGGAGGTGAGGCCCATGGCTGTGTTTAAATCAGCAATCCAAGCCCAGAAATATTCTCAGCAAAGGGGCAGCTCTGGGCATACCCTCTTAACAATCTGTGTCTTTTCATGGAAAAATCCCCTTTGGATCTTATGATATATTTATTGACTTTCTTTCCATGTGAAGGGATTCCAAATCTTCCAAAGGAATCTGATGGCCTCAAAGGATATATTCCTACCTGATTTTCCAGAAAGTTCCATAGACTCACTCTTAATAGATATACCCAGGGAGATTAGGTAACTGACAGGTTCCGAATGTAGTTAAGTTAGCATTTTTCCCAGTTACAAGTCTAGGATCCCATATTCAGAAAAGTTTGTACCATTTAGCAATGAGAAAATACACCTGCTAGGTTCACTGTGGAATTCTACAGCTTTAAAGCGCAGAAGGCGGAGATTCCCAATCTGGGCTCTAAATTGGTGTCATCCAGAGAGATGTGAAAAATATTGATACCACTCCAGAGATTCTTATTTAATTAGTCTAGCAGCCTGGGTATCAAGACTTTAACAGCTTTCCAGGTGTTTCTAATCTGCAGCCTAGCCTAATAAGCTCTGCTCTGAGGTCTGGAACTGTGTTTTTCATCCCTGGATAAACACTGGAATCTGGGGAACATCCCAATTCTCATCCCTTCCATCTAAGTCAGTGATTCTTATACTTTATGTCAGAATCATCTGGAGGGATTCTTAAATACAGATTGTGGGCCCCAACCCCAGAGTTTGTAATTTGGTATATATGGGGTAGGGCCTGGGAATTTGCATTTTAACAAGTTTGCTTATGGATCTGTGGTTACAGGTCCTAGGACCCACTTCCAGAACCACTGCCAAAGATATGATGTATTTGGTTCAGGGAACTTTGTCTTCCTAGACTGAAAAATATCCGAAATCTATACCTAAGTGCTATTACCAATTACTCACCCTGGCATTGCAATGGAGATTCGCCATGACTCCAGTTTGAGTAGTGCCTTAAATCCCTCCCCCAGGGCTACCCAGGGTAGTGTCGTATAGTGGACAGAACACAGGACAAACTTGCTTTCCACTCCTGTCTGTGCCCCTTAGTAGCACATAACTGTAAGCACGTTGTTAGCCTTGGGTGATCAATTTACCCTGGTTTATGTAGACCTTTACCAGTTTAAGCACTGAAAGTCTCACATCCTTGGAAACCCCTTAGTTCAGGGAAAACCTAAAAGGTTAGTCATTCTTTGGTGTTTCCATTGTTGTTTAACCAGTGGTAAGAAAAGCCAAGTTGACTTTGAAGAGTCCCTTCAAGCATTTGAGATAGTACATGTAAACCACCTTGTATAGAGCAGTTGCTTCATAAAAAATAATCGTGATTATGTCTATGACATATTTTAAGATGGATTGTGTAGGGAAGGGAATGACATGTTTAATCACCAGTATACATTTGTAGTGAAGATCATGCAAAGCCTTTGGTTTGGCTAATGCTTTTAGAGCAGTGGGTCTCAACTTTGGCTGCACATTTAGATCACCTGGGGAGATTTCAGACAACCTCCTCCAAATACCCAAACCACAGCCCAGATGATTAAATCAGAATATTTGGTGTTGTAACTCAGACATGAGTATTTTTATGAGCTCCCTAGGTGATTTCAACTTGCAGCCAAAGTTGAGACCTTCTCAAGGTGTGGTCCCTGACTGGCAGCTTCAACATGACCTGGGAACTTGCTAGACATGCACATTTTCAACACTCTCCCCCTCCCTACTAGTATAATTGAGATCTTTGGGGCTGAGGCCCAGAAATCAGTGTTTATCAAGTTCTCCCTTGCACACTACAGATCACACTTTGAGTAACACTGAAATGGCACTTTCTGTTGCTCTACTAATGTGCTTATATTTATTATTGGCAAATGTCCTCTCTTTCTAGCAGCACTAGATAAACCTTTTTTATAGAATTATTTTAATATACTATTTGGTTCTATTTTCAAAATTTTTACTTAGAATTTTTGTATCAATATTTAAAAGTTGTTTTGACTTCTAGTTTTGATTTTGTGCAATCTTTCCCACATCTTAATGTCTATGATATCCTAACTTGATAAATTAATTGGAAAGCTTTTCTTCTTATTTTATGTTTTGAACCAGTTTGTATAAATTAAAATTATCTGTTCCTCAAAAATTTGTAATTCACTGGTGAAAACACACTTGGCTGTGTCACCGTTGTTGGAAGCAGATTTCTTTTCACAGTTTTTTTGTCCATAAACATTATTTCTAATGTTATTTTTGGCCACCTATATTACCTAGAAGACCATCCACCTTGAAATCTTTTTTTCAAACTGTTGGCTTAGGAAATAATACTATGTTTTCTTAAATTTTTTTTTTAATTATTTCAATATGTGTGTCTATGTCTTTTTCCAAACACTAGAACTGAATGTTTAGTGCATGAATTTAAGTTATGTACTAAATTTTTTCGTTTATATTTAAATACTTGAATATATGAATATTCCTACGAGAATAGCTATGGCTGACATCCATAAATTTTCATGTTATATCATTATGAATTTTTGCTTTTTAGAAGGTGCTGTGATAGATAAGCAAGATCTAAAAGTTCTTTGAGCAATGGAAAATAAGACATTTCTTTGTTTTCACTGCACAGGAGATTTACATATGAATATACTTCATGCTTATAAGTGAATATATGTATATCGACCTGCAAGAAATCCTCTTTCCTTGTCTATTCTCTAATTTTTAATGTATTTTATTAGTAGAAAAATGATTAGCAAAATTCCTAACCTACAATAAAAATAAAAGAATCCTCCTTTTTTCAATTAAAAAATTTAAAACCTTTGTTATTTATGTTGCAGAAATATTTGCTTTTTAAATTTTAATTCGCATATGTCTGATATATTGAAATCAAACATCTTGTTATTTACTATTTTAGATAAATTTTTTTCAAAATTTATGCATGCTATTTGTAGAAAATTTTACAAGTTATATTAGTCTGCTTTCATGCTGCTTATAAAGACATACCAAAGACTGGAGTATTTATTTAAAAAAAGAGATTTTATGGACTCACAGTTCCACATGCCTTGGGAGGCCTCACAATCATGGCAGAAGGCAAAGGAGGGGCAAAATCACATCTTACATGGCATCAGGCAAGAGAGCGTGTGCAGGGAATCTGCCCTTTATAAAATCATCAGAACTTGTGAGACTTACTCATTATCACTAAAACAGCATGGGAAAGACCCACACCCATGATTCAATTACTTCCCATGGGGTCCCTCCCATGATATGTGGGAATTATGGGAGCTACAATTCACGATGAAATTTGATTGGGGACACAGCCAAACCATATCACAAGTATTTAAAACAATTTTTTAAAAACACCACGGTCCCCACCCGTTGATACCACTACTATTTGGGATAAACTCTACTTATTCTTCTGTAATCTAGTTATCTCTATTTGACTAACAGCGACCCAAGAAAAATTCAGAATATTAAGTAAATTTCTTATCACATATTTTTAATCACTTCAGTGCATTTTATATTATGGATGTTGACATTTTAATCCTGCACATATAATATATATTGTTTTTAATTTTTAAATATTTTAAATAATGCTGCAATGAGTGTTCTTATGTATTCATATCTGTGTACACACATTCTCTTAGAAAAAAAGTGTCTAAAATGGACAATCACTGGGTTAATGAATACAAAACATACTGATAAATTACTGTACTGAAATATCTTTATTTTAGCTATGCTTCTTTTAAATAGCAAAGAGTTGCAGTTTTATATTGCCCCAGGTTGAAAAACAGTAATTTGCTTTGTATATATTTTTCCAAAGTACTTTTTTCCTTTTGTTGTTATTGGTTTCTGACTTTGTTTTTGTTTTAGTGTTTGCCCATTTTGCATTTTGTTTCCTTTCCTTTGTGATTCTGTATTGTTTGTTAATTAGACCCTAGACCTTTTTATCATCTCATAATTCAGAATATATTTTATTTCAAGTATTTATACATTTAAACTGCAGCACTTTGCCAGCTCCTAGTCCATACAAGGACCAAGACAGCTGCTGCCCTAGTTCTCAATCTGGCCATGAACTTCTTGCATCACAATCATTTTGGAGCGATTATTAAAAATTCAGGTTCCTAAGCCCAACCATGAAACCAGATGAATCATAGACACCTAGAGAATGTGGCCCAAGAACCTGCATTTTTGTAAGTATCCCAAATAAATCTTGGACACATGGAAGTTTTAGAATCTCTAATTTCAATTTTTTTTTTTCTGGCAGAACAGACAAAGATCACACCGAGGAATTACAGATAAACCCCATTCTAATGGTAAGTAGCATTTTCAGTGGTTCTATTGTGCTCCGATTACTTATCTGAATTAAAATTAGATGGATACTTGGGGGATGGCTAAATGGAAACTCTGAGCACTGTTTCTTTAGTGGCTTTTAAGGATATTCTGTGTCTTCTTAATGAACCTCTGTGAATGACCTCAGTCCTGAGGAGAATTAGGCTATTTCAAACCAACCACTTTCCTTACTTTTCCCAAGGACTAAGTAACTATTAGAGCAGACATTAAACCGTAACCACCACCAGCTATACCCGATGACTCAACTCAGGTTATAATTAGGGGAAGGAAACGCCAGTGGGAGGCTGGTGGGGCTCAGAGGAAGGCAGTTTGCTGGAATGAGGAATGTTCCGGGTCTTCCTGCAAAGGACAGCTGGCCCTTCTCAGCGGTCAGCACTGGTCAGTGTCCACAGGCACTGCTGACATCCTTAAGCCACCTGGGCCCTTAAGTGTCCAGAAATACCTGAGTCTTAGAAGGACAAACAGAAAGACACCCAGATACTACAGAATATTTTTAAGCTGGATGATCGAGACTTGTCCTGTAGGTAGCATCAAAGGGGAGAAGTGATAGACCCAGGATTTCTAGTGTTTGAGGAGATTCAGGAAGAATGAATGGTTTTTGGAGCTAGGAGTAGCCCTAGGATAAGAAGCCCCCAGGTATAGCAGGAACAATTATGGAGTTAAAAATTAGAAAGTGTCTAATTTCTAAGACATTTCATGTTAAATAATATTAACATAACGTTAACTCATCAGAGGTGGGAAGATTGGGAGTTTGGGGTGGGGGATGGTGCAAAAGAAAAGTCCTGGAAAGTCCTCAGCAAAATGAAAGGCTTCCATCATCTAACCTCTGCTCATTTCTCCAGCTTTAAGTCCCTATAAGCTCTCTCCCTATAGACTCTCCCTATAGGCTCTCTCTCTCTAGAATTTTTCTTGCTATAGGTTCTCTCTCTAGAAGGTCTCTCTCTATAAAACCTTCCCCTATAGGGTCACTCCCTGTAGACTGTCTCCCGATAGGATCTCTCGCTATATATTCTCTCGTTATAGACTCTCTCCCTATAGACTGTCTTCCTAGATATCTCTCTATAAAGTCTACCCCTATGGAGTCTCTCCCTGTAGACTGTCTCCCTAGAAGCTCTCTCACTGTAGGCTTTCTTCCTAGAGACTCTCTCCCTCGAAGTTTTCTCTCTATAGGGTCTCTCCCCATAGGATCTCTGCCACAGCCACACTTCCTTAAAGTCCCTGACAACACCTGTTCCCTCCAGCATTATACTCTTTGTTGTACTATTCCTTCAACCTAGGCTATTTTGTGTTTACTTACCATTGTCTCTACCCTGCTTCGAAGACCAACTCTACTATGTATGGAAGGTGCATGAATGGACACTTCCATCTAGTTTGGTGAATATCAGACTCATTAACAAAAAAGTACACAATGTCTCATCATTACATATATGTTTTTGAGACCCAACAAGGATTTTAGTTCATATCAAGCCATAAAATCCAGTTTTTCCTTCAATCAAAGAGGATTTCCTATCCTCAAATACTATTCTAGGTTTGAATAAATTTCCCATCACTTTCAGGGGAATGCAGTGGAAATACATTCCCAATGTGAGCCACCTTGGACGCTGTCATGAGGAAAGAGGCCTGTGCCTTTTAAGGGAGGAGCCAGGATGGACTGGGGACAGTGAACACACAGAGCTGTCTGCCTGGAGTTGGGGCCAAAGCACAGGACCTTCCTTTGTAAATGTGTCTTTATGAATTTGTGTCAACTGTTCCCTGACCCAGAATCACCCAGTTAAACAAACCAGGGATTACCAAAAACCTCACACAAAACCAAACCTGCCAGGCCCTTTATAATCCTTAAGACAGTCTCTACCTGTTTACATTCATTTAGGCTCTGATAAAATGGTACTGAAAAAGCCTTCCTTCCAAGACTCTCAGGATGCAGGGATTAGCTCAGTTTTCCCTTCAAAATGACATTTTCCAAACCATATGAGCAAAGTTTCCTTTTCAGTGGCCCATTGAATTGCAAAAGAAACCAACCAATGGTCCATGTCACTCATAAGCTATTCTAACCTCAAATACTTGCCCCAGAAATCATGGCTGGACAAATTTGAAATACCCAAACCTGGATTAAGCCTGTAAGCTTCAATTGACTTCAATTCAAGCCCAGCTCCTTAGTTTTATCATGGATGACATTACATCACTGCATTGCAATGAAACATATAATCAGAAAGCCAGACTCTACTTTCCTCTGGGGTTTTGGAAGAGTAATTCCTTTTTAGGGGCAAAAATGTGAGCTGTGACGACCTTCTTTATATTGTAGGTCAAGTATCAAACCAAGCATTCATCCTTTTAAAGAGAGGTTGCCAGGGAATCAAGTCAATGCCTCACTTGTTGACTTATTCTCCACCACCCAAATAACTGCTCGGGCAGGGTCACTTTCCAGAAATTATCTTGGTGAGCAAACCCCTTTCTTTTCCCATTCAACCTTATTGGAAAGCTCAGGCATGAAGAGACAGACATTGAGAGATCAAGTTTCAGGGACTGTCAAGGTAAATAAAGCATTGGAGGTTGGGAATATAAGAACCCAGTGCCTGGGTAACAAGGGGAATCAGAAATTACCTTCAGGACATGCAACCTGGGAACACAGCACAAGCCTCAGATTAGAATATGGACCCGGAGAAACTTGTAAGCACAGTACAATAGAACTGAAGTTGGAGGACACAAAGTGAGACCGTAATTGGGGAAGAATCAGATGGTCTAAGGAATGAGGTGAACCACAAACAGACCCTGGGAGATCCAAGCTTTTCTGGATGTGAATCAGCCAACTCCTTCCAGAATCCCAGCTCAGGGCCAAAGCAGGAGTGTGTGCCTGGGCAGGTCTGAGGCCACAGGTTTGAGCATGTAGACCCATGCACAAGGAAGACAGGACTCTAGGGCAGGAAGCCAGGCTCCCAATACAAGCTCAGGCAACAACTGCTCCCTTCCCAAAATGGGCATCATAAAGCCAGGTGAAAACCTGTCATCCCAATAATCCTTCATGATTCGCAAGGAGAGAAGGTGTTTCTACAATTTAGTATGAAAAGAATGTTTTAAAATATGCAAATAATTCCACTCACAAACAGTTAATAATTTATAATAATCTTTATTTGCTAATAATTTGAATATTATGAACTGCAGCATACTGCAAAGCATACTGATGCTCTTCTCTAAGAACTATAGATGTATTCCTCTTGGAGTTGTATTTTATTTTACTTCCCAGAAAAGGAGCCACTCCATTAAAGGATGAGAAACCGGCAGCTCCATGTCAGTTTTTCCTGTCAACAGGAGCTAGCAGAGGTTTTCTCATTTGTGAATCTAGTTTAGTTTAGGTCAATAATTAGAGACATATATAATTTAGGCCAGGTACTGTGGAGCTGCTAGAAATGTAAGGATGAGCTGACGCATTCTCTGGTTGGCAAATCATAGCCATTGGCTTGGGCAAGTCATTGTTGAACATCTGTGGCCTCCATTGTACCTGCCCTCCCTTTGAGAAAAATAGGCATCTTTCCTCACATTGAGACAGGAGCACATTAGCAAGGGAAAATGCTGACATGTATTTCCTACATGCCAGGCTCTGTGCTAAGTGCTGTACACATGTTACCCCACTTCACCCTCATCCCTGTGAAGCAGGTTGCCTTCTGTTTACCATGTTTTTGTCACTGGTGCCTACCAGACAGCCTGATCCATAGAAGAGTCAAGAACTATTTTTGCAATAATAAATGAATGAGTAAAATCATAGCATGCCAAACTTTTCCTACATGAAATTTTCAGTCTCCCTCTAACAGTAAAATTTAAATACTGATTTCCCTATTCAGAAATGTTAGGACCAGCCATGGTGGCTCACTCCTGTAATCCCAGCACTTTGGGAGGCTGAGGCTGGAGAATCACTTGAAGCCAGGTGTTCAAGACCAGCCTGGACAACATAGCAAAAACCCATCTCTACAAAAAATACAAAATATTAGCTGAGTGTGGTGGCACGTGTTTGTAATCCCAGCTACTCAGGAGGCTGAGGCACAAGAATCGCTTGAACCTTGGAGGTGGAAGTTGCAGTGAGCAGAGATCACATCACTGCACTCCTTCCTGAGCAACAGAATGAGACTCTGTCTCACCAAGAAAAAAAATTATTTTGAAAGAAATTTTAGTTTGGAGACAGTGAAAATATCCACCAAAATTTTATATACGTGTGTGTGTGTGTGTGTGTGTGTGTGTGTATGCACTAGACAGTAGGAACAGAAGTCCTAGTCAGCTTTCCCTCTGTCATCAGGTAAAGAAGGCAGTGTATGTGAAGGATTGGAAGTGGAAAACATTGTGTTGCCATCTGTCCTCTCTCTCCGTCCAAATACAAGCTCATTTGAACTCATTAGACCTACCATTCAATCCAGCAATACCATTAGTGGGTATCTACCCAAAGGAAAAGAAAGATACCTGCACCCCTATGTTTATTACAGCAATATTCACAATAGCAAAGATATGGCATCAACCTAAGTTTCCATCAATGAATAAATGGGTAAAGAAAATGTGGTAGATATACATGATGGAATACTAGTCAGGCATAAAAAAGAATAAAAATATGTCTTCTGCAGCAACATGGCTGGAATTGGAGGGTCATTACCTTAAGTGAAACAAACCAGGCCTAGAAAGACAGATATTGCATGTTCTCACTCATAAGCAGTTGCTAAAAAAAAAAATGTGTTTTCATGGATGCAAAGAGTGGAATGATAAATAATGGAGACTCAGAAGGGTGAGGAGGTGGGAGGGAGGAGGATAGGTTAATGTAGTACAATGTACATTATTTGGGAGATGGATATCCTAAAAGCCCTGACTTGACCACTACACAGTCTATGCACGTAACAAGATCGCACATGTACCCCATAAATTTGTAGAACTAAAAAGGAAAACAAAACGAAAACACATAAAGCTCATTCTAGTAACTGCTACCTGTTTGGCACTGTTCTAGGAATTTCACATACTTTCAGAAAAACTAGTAGTTTTGTCTTCCTTATATATATCAGGAACCAGATAGATCTATGTTTCCTTTTTCCTTGAGTCCAAAAAAACCATTTATTCCAGCTGCCTTATACATTAAAGAACTTCTTTCGAAAACATTGGCAGGATACATCAGAAGGGGCCAGTCCTCAGCCCATACAAGAGTGAAAGATGATACATGCCTACAGCAGTGCACCATAGGAAAATATAATTACTACATGCAGGGCACAGAAAATAATAGCGTACAGTGTGCAGATCAATCAGTGAAATGAAGAGGTACCTAGAAGTATTGCTAGGCTGTGATTAGGAATGCAGAATTTGGGGGTAACCTTTGATGAGGTAAGATCAAGAGGACATAGAGCATGTGATTGCAGCTATGTTTTATGAAATGTAGGAATTATATTTTACCCTAGATCTCAAAACATACATAAATCAACCGCAGGGCTTTCTTGAACAAGGTAGAGCCCACAGCCTCTCTATGTTCCCATCTTCCAGCTAGCGGATAGCAATAGCTAAGTTTAAGTAATAGGAGTGTTCTAGTAGAGTTTCCTGGAAGCCAAACCTGGAGAATATGCAGTTTATATAATTTTTTTAAATGGATATTCAAGGAATCTCTTATTTGAACAGTTTAATCAAATGTCTTATCTTCCACAGAAATTGATGTTTGTAATTCTTACACACCATCAAGAGAATAACTCATCAATGTGTTGGCTGAGTAATTCAAATTATAATATAATTCACTTATATGTTAACAACTGTTAGATGCCAGGCACTGTTCTAGATGCTTTGCATGCATTGGGGTAAGCTAATGACTCTGAATTTCTTACATGTTGAGTTCGAAGTACCTGCGGATTTCCAGATAAAGATTAATTTGCTATTTTAGCACACACTAATTGTGAACCTAAAATGAGCCAGGCACTATTCTAGGCACTGGAGAAAAAGAGGTAAAAAGAATAAAAAGAGATGGTTCCTGTACTGTAAAAACATACAGTCTAGTAGGAAAGAGAGACCCAAAACTAATTGTAATAACATGGGGTAAGCTACACTATAATAATAAAAATGACAATGGTGATAACAATTATAAATGATGTAATTTATTTAGCACTTACTCTAAGATAGACATTTTATGTGAATGAGTTCATTAAATACTGTTAAAAACTCTGTGACGTCCATATTCATATTTCCAAATGTATAAATGGAGAAACTGAGGCTTAGATAAAATAAGCAACGCCACAAAATCCCTACTGATCAGTAACGGAACTTGGATCCATTTGACCCCAAGGCTTGTGCTCCCTATTGCCATCCTATATTACCCCACCATTCCCACCCCCTTTTGATTTTCCAGAGTTATGAATGCAGTACAATTAAGGTGCAGAGGATCTGGGAGCCAGACGAGTAGGAATAGAAAGGCTTCATAGGAGGGCAAAATCTGAATCAAGCCTTAAAAAAATAACTTGGCATTTGTGTTTGCTAAGCTGTGAAAGATGGGTACAGGTTGCAATGAAATAGTACGGTAAAGATTTGGGATCAAAAAAAAAAAGTCTGCTTCGTTTAAGAAACAGGGATTAGCGCAGATGGAATATAGGGTATGTTGAAAGAAATGAGAGAGATGTGACTAGAGAAACACATCAGAACCATGTCACCATTGTCGCAGAGGACCAGCTGCGTTAAAGACCTGTGATTTTATTTCATAGAGATGATCCATTGGCTCTTTTTTTTTTCTTTCTTTCTTTTTTCTTTTTGAGACGGAGTTTCGCTCTTGTCGCCCAGGCTAGAGTGCAATGGCGCGATCTCGGCTCACTGCAACCTCCGCCTCCCGAGTTCAAGTGATTCTCCTGCCTCAGCCTCCCACGTAGCTGAGATTACAGGCATGAACCACCACCACACCCGGCTAATTTTGTATTTTTAGTAGAGACTGGGTTTCTCCCTGTTGGTTAGGTTGGTCTGGAACTCCAGACCTCAGGTGATCCTCCCGCCTCCTCCTCCCAGAGTGCTGGGATTACAAGCGTGAGCCACCGCGCCTGGCCGAACCATTGGCTCTTTCTAAGCAGTGGAATAACAATGGTTCATAACATTTAGAAGATGGGGTTATACACTCACCAGATCTATTTCCCTAGAGCCTATTTCAGTATCTGATACAGGGTAGATTTTAATAACTGTTGTCAACTAATAAATATATATTTTTAAATACATTGTCAGCAATGTGGAAGATACACTGAAGAAGGAAAAGACTAGTGGCAAGATATAAGCCAGGTGGTAAAATCTAAAAGAAAAGTCAGTGATAGAAAAGAAGTTTGCTGAGAATGATGGTTTCCAGCTTCATCCATGTCCCATGTATACATATGTAACAAACCAGTACATTGTGCACATGTAGCCTAGAACTTAAAGTATAATAAATAAATATGTGTGTGTGTGTATATATATATATACACACACACACACACAAAGAAGTTGATATGGGAGAGACATTTGAGGTAGAATTGACAGGTCTTGGAGACAGCATGACTGTGTGGTCTCAGAGAGAGACACTAGTTGAGAACAACTCCCAAAATTCCTATTTGTGTGTGATCCTCCATGGGGGATACAGAAGGGGGAGTCTAGTCGGGGATTTTGAGTTCCAGTTGCCTTTGGAACATGACTGCACAGATCGCGGCCTGAAAGGAAGTGGCAGAGAAGAAAAATTCAAAATGGCTGCCAATAGTTTGCCCTCTGGAGGCCTCAGAGTTCCGGGGGCCATGGATGCATGGCCACGCAGGGTGAGCAATTGTGATGAGAGAACAGAAAGGAAATCCAAATAAGAGAACTCAAAGCAGAGATGAGCTAAAAATCAGCAACACGAACCATCACAAGTGGGTAGTTACGCTCGGCAGGAGATCCAGGCAAAGCGAGGGCAAACTTCTTAGCCTTTTCCTGTGGAAAATTTATAAAGCTCAGATTGGAGAAAACGTACTGATAGTTTTGAAGCTGGCATTTTAAGTTGGAATGTCTTCTCAAAGTAGCACATAACGGCACAATTCAATAACTCTGACCATTGTGGAAAAATGCCATGTGCCAACAGCGATTTTCCATAATTTTGTTCAGAAAATCTGAAAGAAATGCAAAAAATGGATTTGCAGCCCTGGCAGCAGGCAGAGAAACAGTAGCAGAGGGCTGCAGGCCAGTAATTGATGTTTCAAATATCACTGAGTGCTTTGCCTGTAATTTCAGGGGAGAATGATAATAATTAAAAGCACAAACTTACAAGTCATTTCTGAGGAGGAAAATGCTGAATGCACTTAAAGTGAAGGGGGTTTGTTGAAATGCTTAAGTTTTTCCAGCGAGCTTTCAGATATGCAATGATTAGTTTTATGTTCACAGAGTGACTTTCTCCTCAAATGTTCCAAAGTGCCACAAAATGGAATAGATTATTAACCCATGAGATTCCCTGGGAGCCAGTGATGAAACTATAACCATATGACATTCCCACATGTTCAGACCTTACTTGATTGTACCGGCCTTTGTTACAAACAGCACAGTACACTGTTTAAAAGGATGAAATGAAACCTTTCCTCCTTCTCCCAACTGACTTGGGGCTTTACTACGAGGCAGATTTGAGCTTGAGTCTGCATCCACCCTTTTTAGTGCTGTGACCTTAGGCAGGTCACTCTATTCCTCTCCACTTCCATTTTTTCATCTGAAAAATAGATAGAACAATAGCACTTAACATCTCATAGGGTGAATATTGAGGATTACCTGAGAGTAAAACAATCAATATAATTTCCCACTTATAATCTACGCTCAATAAATATTAGCTATTATTGATATTATTATTACTGCTAAAATGACAAAGGCACACTATTTTTATAATTATTTATTTTTGCTGACAGAATGTAAATTTGGCCACAGATTGTCTAAATTTTCCTGATATTTTAAAACAAACAAACAAACAAACCAGCCAGAGATTCAACTGAGCAGCATAACCCTTTCCTGAAAGGAATCCCCCATGGTTAAACAAATTCAGGGACTGAGTTTTCCATATCCCAGACCCTATTACCCATTGTATTACAGGCCCTGGCATGCAGTGAGCACTCTATAAATGTGGAGCACATATATTGCTGAATGGGTAAACAGTTTTATCCCTCCTGAGAAGTAAGGACCTCTGGTCCCTCACCACTTTCTGATGACTAATATTATGCTTGTGCCCACACAAGTTAGCTGTGACATCTGGATTTTTTTCACGTGCAAACTCTCTCCTTTCCAAGCACTGACCAGGAGTGACTTTCTGCAGCTTGGGTTGACAGATGAGATAACTAGCTTTGTCTTTTCAGACAAAGCTGTGGGTTGACAGGGATATTGTAATTAACAAGTAAAGTGAACACACTAAGCACATGCTGCGATTGTAATGCCCACCATTAGCACTGCACTAAATAGAGTCGTTTTGTATTTTTCTTCAGTACCATCCACCTCTTACTGGCCTATCAGAGTGAATTTTGTTCTCTGGACCATGTTGATTCATTCACTTAGGTTTTCACAGATGTGACCTTACCTGTTGGCTCATGATTCTGAATGTAGACTAGTGACCAGTGGGAGAGGCAGGACTTTTTTACTTTTGTTTTTCCTGCTCAAAACAGGATCTTTTATGTCCCCAGAAAGTAATTTACACAAGATAGACCTACTATATAAACAGAGAGAAATGTAAGTTAGGCTGGTGGCTTGTGTCAGCCTGAAAGGTGATACTGCCTTAACCAGCATGACTTGGAGGCAGAACGGGGGGAGTCATGATGAAGTTGTGATGCTGCTTCTCAGCTCCTCCTAAATAATATGTTGGTAATGTGGTCACACATGGCTTTTTGTTCAAGACACACCTCTACCCAAATGCAAGACTAAAGTCTCTCAAAGAACCTATGGCATTTTGCTAATCAAAAACTCTAGATATGGAGTTGGGGGAAAAGGGCTGCATTTTATCCCTGGAAACTGCAACATGAGTAACTGAGGTTCACTGGAATAAACAGCACATTCAAGGAAGTTAAAGACCTGCCAAGAAACAGTGAGGCAAGATAAGAAAGAGGTACCAGACAATCTTGTTGATTTCAATTTGCAAGCAATAACCAATAGATTATTTATTTCCAGTTGAATTTTCCAAGCCAAATTCAGTTACATCGTAATCATAATTTGTGTAAAAATGAAGGTTGACTAACCACCTACGATGAGAAGTTAAGAATTAAGAATGGCAATGTATTTATTTGGAAAAAATAAAATACAGAGCAGAGCTGCAAGAAAACTCTCAGAAAGGTGGGACTCCCTGGTTGGTCTACCTTGGTGACTTGGTTTACCCCAGGAACACTCAAATTAGATTCACATTCCTGGGCCAAGGGGTCAGGTGTTTCCAGTTAAGAGTCAGGATCCTTGAGGTCTTCTGTAGACATCTCCTTTAAATGGATGACCTTAGGAGAGGGATTTATCCAAATCTCCATTTGTTAAAGTTATGGGGTTTAAACTACTCTCGACTCTGAAAGACATATACTAATGGAAGGAAGGGAATAAAGTACAACTTAGATAGAGTTGCCCAAACCTGGTTGATATCAGAGTAACCTGCACACATTATTTAAACAGATTATGAGAACTCACTCAAGACCAAATGGGTACAAATCTCTGAAGGAAGGGCTTAGGAATCTGTATATTTATAAAAGTAATTCTGACATGTGGCCAGCCTGCTGTCAGATTGGTATCTGGGAAAACATTGATTCCCTCTGGTTCTCTCTCCAATAACCACCAATCGATTCCTAGAACTATATGTTAGTTTACATTTCCCTGAATGTTATATAAATAGAATCATATAGCACATACATTGTCTAGCTTTTTTCACGATACATATTTATTTTGACACCTATCTGTGTTATATAGAATGTATTAGTAGTTCATTCTTTTTATTACTAAGTAGTATTCCACCTTATGGATTCCAGTTTGTTTATCCACTTATTTCTTGATGCACATATTGTTTTTTCTCATATTTAAACTACTACAAATAAAGCTTCTATGAATATTTGCATACAAGTCTTTGTATAAACCTATGCTTTCATTTTTCTTGGACAAATAGGAGTGGTATGGCAGAATCATGTAGTGGATGTATATTTAACTTAAGAACCACTGTGCTATTCTCCAAAATGGTTATACTCGTCTTTATTTCCTCTAGCAGTGTATGAAAGTTCTAGTCCTTCCACGTTATCACCAGCACATATATAGCAGCCTTAGAAACATCTTACATGGCAGGATGAGGAGCAAGTGAGAGACAAGAGAGAAGGGTTACACACTTTTAACAACCAGATCTCCTAAGAACTCACTCACTGTCATGAGAACAGCACCAAGGGGATGGTACAAAACCCTTCAGGAGAAATCCACCAACATGATCCAATCACCTCCCACCAGACCCCTCCTCTGGGGGATTACATTCAAATGAGATTTGGGTGGGGACACAGATTCAAACCATATCAGGTTTCATATATAGGTCTATAATCAATTTTGAGGGTTTTTTTTATATATGGCATGAGGTATGAGTAAAATGTTATTGTTTTGTATATAAACATTCAATAGTTGCAATATCACTTGCTGAAAATACTATCTTATCTCCACTAAATTGCCTTTGCACATTTTCCAAAAGTAAATTGTCCATCTTTGTATGGTCTATTTCTGGCTCTCTAATCAGTACTATTGATTTATTTATCAGTCTTTACACCACTGCTACACTGTGTTGACTATTGTAGCTTCATAATATATCTTAAAAGCATATGGTATTAGTGCTTCAACTTTATTCTTTTTCTGAGTTGTCTTGAATATTTTAGGTGCTTAGCACCTCTGAATGAATTTTAGAATCAGTTTGTCAATTTTTACAAAATGATCCTTCTTGGGATTTTATTAGGATTCCATAAAATCTATTGCTCAATTTGGGAAGAATCAACATCTCAACAGTATTGAGACTTCTGACATATGAACACAATATGTTACTATTTTTTGTCAGATTTAGCCCATGTATCTTATATGTTGAAGGTGACTATTGATATTATTTTATTTATTTATTTCTAATTGTTTCTAGTATATAGACATACAATTGATTCTGACATTGTTCTTGTTTCCTACAATCTTGCTGAACTAATTTATTGGTTCAAGTTACTTTCTGTAGATAGGATTTTCAACATAATCATGGTAATTGTGAATAAAAACAATTTTACTTATTCTTTTCAAATGACTCTGTTTGGAATTTTTAAATGTATCTTCATGAGGGATATTGGTCTGCAGTTTCCACCTCTTGTACTGTAGTTTTCAAGTATCAGAGTCACGCTGCTTCATAGCATAATTTGGGAAATGTTCTCTCCCTTTAAATGTGATGAAAAAGTTTGCATAGAATTGGTATTGTTTCTTTCTCAAATATTTGGCAGAATTCACCAGTAATACCATTGTGGTCTAGAGTTTTCTTTGTGAGGATTTTAACTACAATTTAAATAACTTTACTAACTATAGGGATAATTTGGGTTATCTATTTATGAATGACTTTAATAATATGTGTTCTTCAAAGAATTTCTACATTTATTGTAATTTTTCAAATTTACTAGCAGAGGATTGTTCACAATATTTCCTTATCATCCTTTTAATATCAGTAGAATCTTCAGCAAGTTCATCTTTCTTATTTTTTATATTGGCAATGAAAGTCTTCAATATTTTCTTCTGGTTACTCTGGCTAGAATTTTATAAATTTTACTGATCATATCTAAGAATCAAGGTTTGTTTCCAATGATATTTTTCTATTGTTTTTCTATGCTCTATTTTGTTAATTTCTGCTATCATATTTATGCGTTTACTTGTTTATTTATTCATCTATTTATTCTACATTTAAATCTTCATTTGCCATTTTCTTAGGTTGAAAGCTGGAGTATTGATTTGATATCTTTCTTCTTTTCTAATATAGGCATTTAATTCTATTAATTCCCCCCAGGTATTTCCGTTGTGGCATTCCAAAAAATTGTGATATGTTGTGTTTTCATTTTCATTAAGTTTGAAACACAATTTAATTTCCTTTTGATTTCTTCTGTCAGCTTTTTTAGAAGTGTGTAATTTTATCTACAAATATTTGGAGATTCTTTAAAAATCCTTCTGTTACCGATTTTAGTTTACTTCCATTGTGTTCTGAGAACACACTTTTTATGACCTAAATCCTTTAACTGTATTAAGACTTGTTTTGGCATAGGATATGTTCTATCTTGTTGCATATTCTGAATGCCCTTAAAAAGAATGTGCATTATGCTACTGTTGAGTAGAGTGCTCTATAAATATCTATTAGGTCAAGTGGCTTGATAGTGTTGTTGAAGTCTTCTACATACTTACTAATTTCCTATCTATTTTATTATATCAATTTCTGAGAGAGTAGTATTAAAATCCCCAACTATCAATGTCAACTTACGAATCTCTCATTTATGTCCTTGATTAGTTTTTATTTCATGTGTTTTGAAGCTATGTTTAAGGGCATAAACATTTAGAATCATATTCTGTTGATAATTCAGCCACTATATTGTTATAAAATGAACAGTTTGTTTCTGTTAATATTCTTAGTTCTGAAATCTACTTTGATACAAATACAGCCATTCCAGGTTTCTTTTTATTAGTGTTAACATGTTAACACTAATAAATAATAACACGTTATATCTCATTCCATCCTTTTTATTTTAAATATTTGTCTTTATATTTAAAGTATATTTCTTTGTAAGTAGATTACAGTGGGTTCTTTTTGTCTATCCAATGTGAAAACTACCTTTTAATTGGGATATTTAAACGATTTAAATTTAATTTGATTATTAATATGACTAGGTTCAAAACTATTGTTGTTTTATAGTTGTTTCATATCCTCTTTCTTTTGTCCACTTTTTCTACTTTCTTTGAATGAATTGAATGTTTTTTATTATTTTCTTTTCTCTCTTTTATTGGATTACCATTAGCTACAACTTTATTATTACTTTTGCTATTTAGTGGTTTCATTAGAGATTATGGTATACATCTTTTAACATATCACAGTCTACTTTCAAGTGATATCATATCACTGCATGTATGATATGAGTCTTATAAGAGTACATCTAAATTTCTCTTCTCATGTTCTCTAGAATATTGCTATAACACACTTTACATCTACATATGTGTGTGTGTGTGTGTATATATATATATATATATATATATATATATATACACACCCCAAATACAATCTTTTTATTTTTGTTTAAACAATCAATTATCTTTTAATAGTTCAAGTTTTAAGAAAAAAACTCTATCTATCTATACAAGTTATATTTGGGTCTTTTTAAATATCTTCCATATCTCCTCTTAGGTTTTTGAACATCTGGAATACAGTTATAGTAACTGTTTTGCTGCCATTTCTCTGCTAATACTAGCATTTTGTCAGTTCTGGGTTGGTTTCTAATAAGTTTATTTTCTCATTTTGTTCTTGCTCTTTGAATGCTTGATAATTTTTGAATGAATGCCAGGAATTGTGTGTTTTATGTTGCTGAATGCTAGATGTTTTTTGTATTCTCATAAATGTTCTTGAACTTTGCTCTGGGGTGCTTTAAGTTACTTGGAAATTATTTAATCTTTGAGGGTATGGTTTTTAATATATATTATATGGGACCACAGCAGTGTTCACTGTAGTGATAACTACTCTCCACCACTGAGACAAGACATTTCTGTGGACTCTGCCAAATGCCTCATGAATCTTGAGGTTTCTGGTCGGGCTGCTAAGAATAGTCAACACTATCAGCTTTCTAATCCCTTTCGGTGGTTCTTTTCCTGACCTCAGGTAGTTTACACACACACACACACATTCATCTGTACTCAGTTTAATATCTGAGGGATGCCTTTTTAGATCTCTGGAGTGCTTACTCTCTTAACAGCTCTTTCTTCTCTGATATTCTAGCCCTCTTGACCTCCCTGGATTCTCTGCTCCATGTCCTCTTCTCAGGGAGCCCACCACCCTCTGTCTGGGTTCTTCCTTCTTATGTATGGCCTTGGATATCTCTGATGGCAGTAAGCTGAAACAATTTGAAGGATCTCATCCCTCAGAGATCACTGCCCTTCACTGTTGGATGTCCAGTGTCTTGCAAATTATTGGATTATATAATCTATATAGTTTTTAAAATGTATTTACTATTGACTGTTTCAGGTAAAAGAATAAATCCAGTCCCTGTTACTCCATCTTAGCTGAACGTGAAAATATAAAGAATTATTTTTATCCCCATTTCACAGAGAAGACTAAAGACCAAAGTAGACTGGTTTTCCCCAAGGCCACATGTTGCCAGGTGTGGTGGCTCACGCCTGTAATCTCAGCACTCTGGGAGGCTGAGGCAGGGAGATCACCTGAGGTCAGGAGTTTGAGACCAGCCTGGCCAACATGGTGAAACCCCGTCTCTACTAAAAATAAAAAAATTAGCTGAGTAATATGGCAGGCACCTGTAACCCCAGGTACTTAGCTGGCTGAGGCAGGAAAATTGCTTGAACCCAGGAGGTGGAGGTTGCAGTGAGCAGAGATCACACCACTGTGCTCCAGCCTGGATGACAGAAGGAGACTCTGTCTCAAAAAAAAAAAAAAAAAAAAAAAAAAAAAGAAAAGAAACTCACAGGAGTGCACTACTGTATACATGTTTGTTTCTATTTTTGTCCTTCTAGACATTAAAAAGTCAGAATTTTCCTTCTCTAGTTTCTTGGGACTTTGCTCTGGATGTACAAATTAGGCAACTCTTTAGGAAGCTAATGGTCCATCTGGTCTCCATTTAGAAAGTTGATGTGGAGTGTTTCTTTTTTTGCCAGTCAAGTTTCTAGAACTACCCATCTTAAAAATCTTTCTTTACTGGTCATTTTTCATAGTGGCCACCCAATTTGTTTCTCTAAATGAGATTCCCATATTTGTGCTTTATATCTGCCTATCCTCATTCAACAATTTTATAGTTCAAACTCATCTTTTTATTTACCCATATCCCTGGAACTACACAAACTGACTTCTGCCAGCATACTTTCATATGAGTCACCTCCTAGTTGCTCACTATCAATGTTAACATACGAAACCGGAGTTACATTATCATTTTCCCCACTCTAGTCACATTGTGTTACAGTCAAATTCACATGTAATTTTATTTTTGGGTTTCCATTGCATCTGTCTCTGGCCTTGACCTTAGAAGGAAAAATAATTCTTGATATTTCATGTGTATTTGGTGCCTGCTGTGTCTTTTAATAAAATTTGGAGAAGAGTGAGGAGTAGAGATTAAATAAAGGCAGAGACATCTTCTTTGGACGAGAGTGTTCAATGTTAAGAAAAAGACAAAACAAAACAAAACAAAAAAAACAAAAAACAAGATACAAGATCCAAGCATCAGGGGTTAAAGATTTCTACAGTGAACAAAGGCACCTTTGGTAAATGATCTCATTTAGCAACCATGACTAGGGAATCACACCTTGACTTCACACTTCTCTCCTTGCATTCACTGGGACACTGGGCCATGTATTTATTATGTCCCCAGAGAACAAAGACTTACATACAAAACTGCAAACAACTCAGCAAAGTTGCTAAAAATAATTATATTTCAGTAGATGATTCTAAGAAAGGAGGGAGAAAAATGTACTTAGCAAAACCAGAAATCTCCAGTAGACACTGGAGTAGAACTGAACAAAATCTTATATAAAAATAGCATTTGGGTCCCATCTGAATTTAGTGATAAGGACTGTAACAATACAATACAAATGTACCTCGTGCAGCATTTGTCATCTGACTCTGGCTCTCGGACACTTTATAGCATTAGATAATGCAGTTACATGGGAGATCTAATAGCAGAGGAACAGGAAAATTAAAAGATTTAAAGTCAGGTAGGCATAGTAGTATGTCAAATAAATTTACAAGAGAATTGGTACACTGACAAGGCCCAGATGAATCAAAAATTCATGTAAGAAAGAGATTATTTTAGGATGACAAGAGCTAGGTCCAAAGAGTGTCAGAAAGAAGCAGGAACAGGAAGAAAGATGCAGATACCACACCTATGCGTGGACCATTCTCTAATCACTTCATGCACCCCATCACATTTTGTCTCTACAGATCTCTCTGATACACACATCATCATCTTAACCTTACACAGGCAAAAAAAATTGATGGTCAGGGAGTGAATGCAAATTTCCCAAAAGTCAAATAACAAGTGCCAGAGGCAGGATGCAAGCCAAATCTTCTAACTGATGGTTCTCAAATTTTAGTGCTCATGCGGACACGTGCATGTACACACAGACAGAAACACACATCTCCTGGGGAGGTTCTTAAAAACTGCACATTTCCAGGCACCCCTCCCCAAATATTTTGACTCAGTGGATCTGGGATAGGAGTCTGTAAGAGGATCAAGGGATCTGAGGGCTGATGAGGGAAAAAATATGACCATGAGAGGCAGTAACATACAAGTTTTTTTGGTGGCACTTGCCCAGGATCACATGACAGGGGAAGTGCCTCATAGCACTAGACTATCAGAGGCTTATAGGGAAGGGGCCATCACCCAGAAGAGAAGGAGGGACAGGGAACTACCTGAAGAGGGGATATCAGAGAGGGGCTTACGTGTCTAAGTTGTGTCACTCAGCAGCACAGCGGTGAGCCTCTGGGACAGAAAACCAAAAGGCAATAATGGGTTGGGGGTCCTTGTAATTACTAGGCCCCATTTTATCAAGGTGTGAGCAATTGCATGAGTTTTCTTGGGTCATGCAAAGCAGGTAGGCTCTAAATAGCTTTTAAAAATCTACTTGTTTGGGCTTTAAAAAATAATTAGATGTGTAAAACTCTTGGGTTTGGCACTGTCAGGCTTTTGAACTCATTTATATGACAGAGTGGGACCACATTCGAGGAGATAACTCTGTTGTGGTATGTTCCAGCCACATTTTAAGGAAGAAAATAATATTTCAAACTCCAAGTGCTGGGCTCTCTTCATTGTAGCCCAGCCAACTCAAACAGTGGATAAGTATGCCAGGAGTCAGTGTCCGTGTGAGCACATGCTGGCCAGGCCTCGGGATCTGGGTTAGGATCGCAAACATGTTTTCTTCATCTTCATGAGGACAAATTCTTTTTATACAAGCTGGACTTCTTCAATCATTCTTTATGAACAAAGGGAGAACAGGAAAGCTCTGTTTAATGAACTTCCCAATCCAGTTAGGAGTAAAAAGTAGAATACACACCACATTTGGAGCACTTTATGTTAGGATTCCGCCCAAAATATACCATAGTTGCATGAAACCGTAAGCTCACTGGTAGCTGGAACTGGGTTTGTTGGAGGGACCATCATAATCACTGCCTCTAAAGCAAGGCCTTTCCAATGACAGTAGTGAGTAAATGAGCATGGACTAAATAAAGAACACAGGAACATCTAAGTTACCGGGCTCTACATATTCAAGTTGTTGTGCTGAGAAATCTGTCTGGAGCCATGAACTTCAATCAGTTCTCCCATCGTCCCTGCCAGATGGGACTTCAGTTTCTGTCCTCACCACAAGGCTGAGTCACAAACCCAGGCTGACACTGGGAATGTGGCATTTAAACTGGTGCTTACCAAGCTTATAAGAGTTTCTTTGAGTGACCCGGGAGAAGGGGATGGTAAGACAAAGAAAACCACTGATTGGAAAAGGGGGCATGAGGAGTCCAGTCCTCAATTCTCGTACAGGTGGGGGTAAAGAGGGAAATTCAAGCATTCCCTTAGTATTTTGCTTCCACCTCCCTGTTCCCACCTCATTCTTTGTAACTCAAATCAGAACCTCCTCTCTCTAAAATCTGTTCCCTGGTACCTAGGAATCACAGGATAGGAGGCTATTTTTTTTTATCTTGACACAAAATTTGCCACCTCCAACCTCAAACTGCTCAACCCACAGCTCCCTCCAAGCCCACCCAGGTTTTAAAATGTGCTCCAAGTCTCAGCATTGTGGTCAGACAGTGCAGCACCTGCTGCTGAGTTTAGGGTTCTACTCATCTCCAGCCCTACCCACCTCCTACCCATGAAAGAGAAATATAAGAGTTCTAATTGCAGTTGCTAATATTGTGTTTCATAATAAAAATGAAAACATAATTTATTTTTAAAGGATGACCTGCAAATTTTGCTTCCCTTTTCCTCAATTTGCCCTTGTGCAAAAACCGTGGTTTGTTGCTGTCCTAGTTAACTCCTTACTGCTAGAGACAGGCCCTATCTTTCATGGTAACACACACATAGGTAATTTTTTTTTTTTTTTTTTTTTTTTTTTTTTTTTTTTTTTTTTTTTTTTTTTTTTTTGAGACGGGGTGTTGCTCTGTCGCCCAGGCTGGAGTGCAGTGGTGCGATCTGGGCTCACTGCAAGCTCCGCCTCTCTGGTTTGCGCCATTCTCCCGCCTCAGCCTCCCCAGTAGCTGGGACTTTAGGCGCCCGCCACTGCGCCCGGCTAATTTTTTGTGTTTTTAGTAGAGACGGGGTTTCACGTGTTAGCCAGGATGGTCTCGATCTCCTGACCTCGTGATCCGCCCGCCTCGGCCTCCCAAAGTGCTGGGATAACAGGCGTAAGCCACCGCGCCCGGCCACACATAGATAATTTTAAGACCATGTGGATGCTCTCTATTCCTCATGCAACCCATGGAAACATTGCTAATGTGCTTCTTTCTACCACGTTGCCCTTCCTGTCTCCCTCTATCCTCTGGATAATTCCTGGTCATCCTTTTAACATTACTTCCTAAACCTGTTTTTCCAAATGTGGTCCATGCTCTAGCATCACGAGCATCTCTTGAAAGTATATTAAGAAACAGAATCTAAGGCATTACTCCCCTGCTCCTGAATAAGAGTCTTCATTTTAAATAAGTCTCAGGGGGCTTCATGTGCATGTTAGAGTTTTAGAAGCATAGCCCTAGAAGATATCTTTCTAGAAGGAGTCACACTTATTTTCTGGCTTCCATTTCCTTGTTCATGCTTCTTATTCTATTATAATGACTCTAGGAAACTCCTTTTCTAGAGCAAAGGTTTTCTAATTGCACCTAATAAATTGTACTCACTGAAAATCATAACAGGGTAGTGAGGTCAATTTAGTGGGTCATAACCAGGTCTTTTAATTAAATAAAATAAAATAAACCACTCTAGAATAGAATGGAAAATATCACCAGGCAAGTATAGTTTCATATAACTTTGAAACAGTATGTCTATGTGTGTGTCCATGTATACTGGATTGTCTACATATATTTACTGTGGACCATGATTATAAAAACTTGAAACCCTCTCTAAGCTCCTTGGACTGAGGGACTGTTTGACTCATTTGTTGTACATGTAACCCCTAACACAGTGATTATAGAGTAGATGCTCAAAATGTATGGAATGCTGTATGAAAGGCCATAGATCATTGGGAGTGGCATCAATCATTAGTGAACATGACATCCAGTGAGAGGATGACTGACAGCAGAAGGGAAGAAAGTGGCTGGCCTAGCCTGGGGAGTAGGAGGGAAAGAGGAAGGGCTTAACAGATCTGAGTCCCTTTCTTGAGGCAGACCTGTGTTCAGCACCTGGATGGGATTCATGCTAACCAGATCATGTGCCCTTTCTAAAATAAAAATTTTATATATTTAAAGTATATAACATCATGTTTTGATATGCATACAATAGTGAAACAAATTACATATATAAGATATACATATATACATATATAAGATATACAAATTAAATATATAACAGATACATAAATGTATTTATACAGTCAAACAAATTAACATATTCATTCCTCAAGTAGTGACCATTGTGTGTGAATGGCAAGAACCAGCCAATATCTCTGATGAATATCCTCAAATGTTACCAAACTGAATTCAGTAATACATAAAAAAAATTATACACCATGACCAAGTGGGATTTATCCCTAAGATTCAATGTTGGTTTCACATATGCAAACCAATCAATGTGATGCACCATATTAAAAAAGAAATGAAAGATAAAAACCACTGGCCAGGCATGGTAGCTCACGCCTGTAATCTCAGCACTTTGGGAGGCTGAGGCGGGCAGGTCACCTCAGGTCAGGAGCTCGAGACCAGCCTGACCAACATGGTGAAACCCCATCTCTACTAAAAATACAAAAACTTAGCCAGGCATGGTGGTGTGCACCTGTAGTCCCAGCTACTCAGGAGGCTGAGACACGAGAATCGCTTGAACCTGGGAGGCGGAGGTTGCAATTAGCCGAGATCCTGCCACTGCACTCCAGCCTGGGCGACAGAGTGAGACTCTGTCTAAATAAAAACAAAAAAACACCCACACACAGGATGCTCTTAATAGATGGAGGTCAAATGCCTTTTAAGGAACCTCAGACTTCATCTGGCTGTGCAAATACCCCTAGGAATGTCACTAGGCACGGTAGAGAATGGCCACTGGCTTGAAAAATACTGACCAAAAGTAGAATTTCAATATGTGAGAAGGAAATTAAGAATTGTGTGGGGAAGATTCAGGTTTGAATCCCAGGTAGAATCTTACATTGTAAGATGGCAAAAGAAAGGTCAGTGAAAGACTTTCTGGAAACCAGAATCAGATATCCGTCCATGCACTCCATAGTCATTGATGTAACATCTACTACGTGCAGATACTATTCTGAAGACTGGCAATTTAGGTGTGAACAAAATAGACAAAATGGCTCTTCTCATGGAATGGGCATTGTAGTGAAGAAAGCAAAGAAAAAACAAGCAAATATTTCATATTTGTATTTATCTTTATATTATGTTTATATTATACTATCCCAAATCCTGCATTTTGTTTATATTATATATATATATATATAAATATATATGTAACATGTAAATATATAACATGGTGATTTCAGGTGGTCATGCTAGAAGAACTGATGGAAAGTGAGAGACAGTAGCACATAGACCCCTCTCTTAGCTCCCTTATCTGTGAGCTAGGAAAGATTAGGATGAGATGAGAGCCACCCCAAGAGGAAAATATCTAAGATTGATTCAGATTTTATTAACAAGGTTTCACTTTATGTTGAAATCTGGTAATCTGTTATCAGAGATTAGCACTGCAATGCTGTAGAATGGTCGAGTCCAGTGGCATTAAAACTTTGTTCTGTGTAGCCTAAGACATCACAACTGGTGAGTGAGGACAGGCCGGAGAGACTCTGGCTGCCTTACCACAACCTGTCCCTCTAGCACATTGCGACTTACCATCAGCTGCATTTGGGGAGATGCCACGGGAAGCTGTGTTTTGCAAAGTTGTCCTGCTCCAGAATAGCTCTAATGGAATTCTCTAACAACTTTAGCTTTCAGATTAAGAAACTGAGATTTATCAGAATTAGCTGACTTGATCAAGAGCGCACGTTGAAGAAAAGCTAAGCATAGAATTATGAATCATGCCTGCTTTTCCTGATCTCAGTCAATTATAAAACAACAGCCATTCTAAGATTTCTTACTACAGATAAAAGTGTTCCAGGCCTTGTTTCCCTTAGTAGGCAGGAGAGTGTGACTCAGGCCAAGGCTCATTTGCCCCATTTGACATTGGCATTACAATTCCTTACCTGGCAATGGAACCTACACATACCTCACTAGGAGACTTTCTCACGAGGGAAAACCAATAGGGACTTAACTCATTGGAGTTAACTCTTAAGTCCAAGATAGGATATCGCATCTATCCTACCTTGATACATCCCCTCTGCTCTGAATCCTGGTCAGTTAAAATCCTGGCATATGTTGTTATTTTGTTCGCTTGCTCAAAGGGTTTCCAAACTTTTGAACACCATGTGTTCATTCAAATGTACTGCTTTGGACTCCTCCTTCACTCTGATTTCAGCCACCTAGATGATTTTTATTATCTCTTTACTCTGCCACCTCCAAGGAAAAATTTTCCTTCTTTGTGTTCAAAGTCATCCAGATGTCAGTACTTTCTCTAATGGACTTTGCCTTCGTCCATCCCCAAGTCTCATACACAAAAAGCCATGTACACATTTGCGTGTACCAGCCTTGGTAGGTATCATCTAGTTGGAAGCAGCTCAGCAGGAAATATCCCCAGGCTTCCCTCAGGCTGCTTTTTTTTTCTCCTTTGGGGGTACCTAATTTCCATTGGTCCTTTGTTTATTGGCCTCTGGGTCATCCACTATTACCAACTTGAATTGAGACAATCTGCTGTGTAAAGGGTCTAATCCTTGTCTTTGCATTTACTCTTTTTTTTCCCCATCTAAGTATTTGAATACATAGGAACAGATGGAACTGTTTTTAGACACAGTTGCAGAATTTTTCCTTGCAGACACGCATCTACACATTCTGGTAAACTAGTTGGGTAACCTGCTTAACCCATTAAAAGCCTCTCTGACAGCCATTTTCCAACTGATCCAGAGCTAAGATGATTATAGTAAGGTCTGTCCCATGTGCACAGAGTTTTCTTACTTTCTCAAACAAAGCATTTTAGTTGAAGCTGTTCCACTGGCTTTTCTAATGCCAGCCCACAGGAAAGTTTCTCCCAACCACTATCCATAAATTCTATGCAACCACACCAGAGATGGCAGCTGCCCATTTCACAGCCACTCAAGCTAAATCTCTCCTTAATTCTTGTCTCCAAATATTGTCCTCAGTTCTTCTGGGGTTGGAGCTAGAAACATCACACATCCCCAAGGCAGCAACAACATTCGTGTTTACTTTAGAATACATTTTGATAAGCACCCAAGTGCTTCAGCGGAAACTGAAGGGTATTTGTGTGAGGTAGCAGATTGTGGGGAGGTTTTATGTCCCAGCACACTCTGGGGAAAATAAAAGAAAATAGCTTTCTTTCCTGGAAGAAAAGAAAAATAAAAAGAAAATAAAAAAGACTAAGAGCCAGTGCAGACACAAAAAGACAAGCTAAGGGAACCCCAACAACACAAATTCTGGAAAGAATGGCACCTCCCCTGTCCCCCACAAAAGGCTCAGACTCCAGAAAAACTGTGCTGATGATGTTGGAAAAGCTTATCGTGTTATTGGGAACTAACTTCCCTTTTTCTGTAGGAGGCAAAACCCAAGAAGTGTAAACGCAAAAAGTTTCTGCGCTTCTGAGTGGAGAAAGTTCCCCAAAATGAGTGTGAAAAGACTAGGAACAACTGAAAATTCCAGCCCACAGTTTCAAGCTTTCCAAAGCCTGTTTGCTTTGGCCAGCCTTTGCCATTCCTTTCTCTCTTTTTTCAGAAGTGTGAAATGGGTTGGTTGCTGGTATTTGTTCTGTGGTCTCTGCTAACTCTTCCATCTGTATAAACTTAGCTCTGCCAATCCAGCAGTTTAGCAGCACTTTCTCTTCAGCTAGCTCAAAAGGACACGAAGGTCCTATTAAGTGGCCCTTTCAAGACTTGCAAATAACTGTACCATGCTGTCTGATTGAAGGCATGAAGCTTATTTATGCTGTCCTTGCAAGGGCTGGCCTTCCTTTTAAGACTTGTAGCTAAACAGGATGAAGGCAAAGTTAATCCAAGTCTGGATTTGACCATTCCTCCCCAGTGTCAGGGAAGCAGCCGAGGTGGCTATAATATGCCTATAAGCCTGAGAAACTAGGCCCGGCACAGTGGCTCATGCCTGTAATCCCAGCACTTTGGGAGGCCTAGGCGGGTAGATCACTTGAGGTCAGGAGTTCGAGACCAGTCTGGCCAACATGGCGAAACCCCATCTAATACAAAAATTAGCTGGCCATGGTAGCGCACCTGTAATCCCAGTTACTCTGGAGGCTGAGGCATGAGAATCGCTTGAACCCGGGAGGTGGAGGTTGCAGTGAGCCAAGATTTCACCACTGCATTCCAGCCTAGGCGACAAAGTGAGTCTTTGTCAAAAACAAAAACAAAAACAAAAAAACAAAACAAAAACAAACAAACAAAATCTTAGAAACTTGAAGATAGGGCATGGTACTTAGTGGTGATGTCTTCCTCTTTTTCATGAACATATTTATTTGAGGATGAAGAGAGCCATGGGAGAATCTACATTCCCATGTTTTCCCACTTTCCTTCTATATTTATCTGTATTTGGGTTGACCCTCTTCAGCAAGCTACTGTCCTTCAAGAAGCAATAGGCTAACAGGGTGCCCACATGCTTTTATCTATTCTCAATGGAACAACCTAGACTATTTAATTAACTGTTTTTCACTAGTTGCTCTTACAAAGCAAAATATTGTCAAATATGAAAATTTGCCTTGGGTCAGAGACCGAATATGAGTAGAGCTGACGGTTTTTGCCAAGTCCAACAAGTATCTCTGTGAAGTGTAAACAGCTATTAATGAAGAGAGTAGCCACGGTTAAATAAACCAGGGGGTGGAGAACACATGGGCCAAGAGAAGAGCTATTTGTTGCACATTTCCTCTGTCTAAGGATGAATCCAGCCTAGTTGGGTCCTCAGTGGAAGGTAACAGAAATTTTAAAATGGACCAGAATAAATAGCCACAAAGAAGAAATGGTGCCCCACTGAGAACTAGAGCCCCATTGTCCACCATGGCATTAAAAAAGACCCCAGTTATGTCAGATTTAAAGTCATGAGCTCTTCACTGGGTTCTCCAAGCTAGAGATGGCAAAACTTTAACCCAGAGCTTCGTGGAGAAATTTGTCTTTAGTGACTATACAGTCAGAGTCTATACAGTCAGTGAGTATACAGTCAGATTCATTAGCCTACTTTATGCAGATGTGAATCTTTCTAGACCTGTCTCCTCCTTATATTTCTGATCTAGATAATTCGTTAATCTGCTCAAAACCGAGCAAGGCTGGATTCCACAAAACTTTTTCCAAAGTTTTGAAAACTTTTTCCATCCATACAAGTGGGCAGGTAATAAACATAGTTCCCAGGATTGTGTTAAGTAAAATGACATTTATAGAATGCACAATGAAATATTAGGAAGAAAGTAAGTCCTCAAATAATAACTAAAAAAAAAAAATTTAAAGGCTATGGGCTTACAGTGATCTGGACCCAATGCAATGCTACAAGAAATAAAAAAGTATATATTTGTATTTTTAAGGCCAACCTAATACTGTATCAGTAATTCCAAAGAGGCAGACAGAACCTGTAAACACAAAGAGGAACGTCCTTTTCTTGGGAAAGCTCTCCACACCAAAAACCTTTTCTTGTCAAATGAAGGGTACAGATACCTAGGAAGTATTTACATTTGGGAGTTCATGTAGTGGAAATTTACCTTGACAAAGTCAGGACAATGGGAATCATTGGGAAACACTCCCAAAAGGCCAAAAGAAGCTTATAACATATGCTTCAAAGGACATACAGTTACTTTTTCAAAGGGCCATCAGCTTTTGATTCTCTCTGGCTAATTGAACTCTGGACTGCTGGAGGAAAGAGATTATGTATCCCGGTGTCTGGAATAATTAATAGTGCATAGTTAATGCTTAATAAATCAGGTCCATGACTTGGATTCAAATCTTCACTCTGCCACTTTCTGCCTGTGGTACTTTAGCCTCTCAGAGCCTGAAATTCCTCTTCCATTAAGCAGGGAGCTTAATGGAACAAGCGCCAATCTTGTACGGTGTTATGAGAATTAAATGACTCTGAGTGTTGCATGCTTAGAGGACTGCCTGACATAAAGGAGTAATCTGTAAATAATATCTAGTATTATTATTGTCGTTAAAGCATAATCGTTTGGTTAGTTATCACTGACCACTCACTCTTCTCTTTCTTGCTAACAGAACTATAACTTGTCAAAATCAAATATGAAAATTCTATCTCCCTTTGATTGAGATTAAGTCTGGTATGTGACTCAGTTCTGGTCAATGACATATAAGTACAGTATCTATTTATAAGGTGCTTTCTGGTGAAGCCATCTTGTAAAGATTTTTCTCGCTGAAGGGAGACTATATATTCTATATTCTCATGACGATGTGATGACCAGAGCTGCACTAACCTCTTAAAACCATTGTCAACAATGTTTGGCAGAGTAAAGTATAAAAAGAGCATAGGTAACATGAGACTTGATGGCATCATGGGACTGCTGCAGCAACCCATGCACAATCCATCTCCTGCCATCTAATTATATGAGCTCCAAGTCTGTTGCTTCCAGCAGAATGCAAGGTAACTGATACAATCCTTTTGTGTGTAGAGTGTGTATCCACATAAATCTACACACATACATGTGTGTGTAGTGACATGCAAATGTCTACAAGGACATATACTGTCCTTTTATTGTTTAAAGTTTTATATTTAAATTTTAAAGAATTCAAATATTGACAGATGTACAGCAAATTATATCATAGTCACCTATGTACTTGCTACTAATATTAAACAGATATTAATATTTTGCTTCATTTGCTTTAGAAATCTATCTGTCCATCTGTCTCATTTATGAAATGAAACATTACCAGTTAAGATAACGTATCTGCAACCATCCCTTCCCTTAGGAAAACATTACTGTGAAGTAAGTCTATATACTTTTGTAGTTCTACTACATGTAGGCACCTATAGAAAAACATGCGTTTGTATGTTTTATAATTTTATAGAACTGGTGACTTGCTGCATATATCATTTTTGAAACATTACTATGCACTGAGTTTGATCATGTATCCATGTTTATATAACTGCTTTGTTCATTGAAACTGCTGCATAGTACTCCATCTGTATGGAAAAAAATCTTCAGACAATATTTCTTTTATTGAGGAATATCTATTTGTTTTGACATTTTTTATTTCAATTTTGTTCTTTTTTTGTTAATGTCTCGAAACTCATCATATATTCTAGTTTCTACTTTGTTGTCAGTTACATGGCTTGCAAATAGCTACTCCTAGTCCATAGCATGACTTTTCAGTTTATGATGGCTTTTCTCTTGCCAATTTTTTTATAATTTAATTATATTTATTAGCCTTTTCCTTGTTGGTTTGGAAATTTTTCCTTTAAGAATTTCTTCCTATCCTAATTTGGAAAGAATTTTTAAATGTTTTCTTCTAAAATGGTAAAAGCCTTCTTTTTACTTTTATATGTTTAAACCCTGGAGAATTTATTTTTTGTAAGATAAATACTAGGCATCTGACTTTGTATTTTTCCATATGAATAATCTAACATCTCAGGGCCATGAGCGGGATGTCCCTTTTTTCACAGTTGATTTGCTTTGTCACCTCTTTCACATACCAAGCTCCTACATACACGGGGGTCTACGTGGTAGTCATTAGCGCTCGTCACAAAATGTTTCTATTTCCTCATCTTGTAGGTACATGGTAAATGTCCATTTTCTGACCCTTTTGTGCACAGTGGGGCCATGTGTTCTGCATAATGTGTTATGAACAAAAGTGCACATTTAATTGCCAGTAGGAATCCCTCCAGAGATCTCCTTCTCTCTGTTAGTGAGAGATGTTACTTGAGCATCAGCCTGGATACCCAAGTGAGTAAAATGAGCAGAGTCCCTCTAACAACTTTCATGGACTTGCAGCACAGGGAAAAAATAAACATGTTTATTTTACACTTCAGAGATGTGGAACTGTTTATTACTACGGCATGACCTGGCCCCGTCTGACTGATACAGAGAAACTGGTACACTCATGGGAAAAACAACCACCAAACATGGCATCGGCTAAAGAGCTGGCACCAGGTGGGAGGGAGCAAGAAATTAGGTTGTCATATAAACTGGAGGGATATTGATCTGTTATCCAAATGTGAAACATTTGGCAAAAGTTATCCCTGAAATAGCTTGGAACTCAGAAATGTATTTAATGAACTTTTAGCTCAAAGAGAAGAATTTGGAAAATAGAATGTAAAACAAGTGTGTTGGTTAACACTGGCTTTATTTAACAGAGTGCTGCAAGAAAGAGATGGGCTCAGAAAAGGACCGACTGGATTGCAAACAGGAATAAAAGCCTCAAAGAGAGTCCGTAAGTATAAGGACTTGCAGCATTGAAAGAAACAACTGCTTCTCATTCACATCTAATAAAAGATACTGGCCAGTCACAGTGGCTCACGCCTGTAATCCCAACACTTTGGGAGGCTGAGGCGGGTGGATCACTTGAGATCAGGAGTTCGAGACCAGCCTGGCCAACATGGTGAAACCCCATCTCTACTAAAAATACAAAAATAGCCGGGAGTGATGATGCACTCCTGTAATCCCAGCTACTTGGGAAGCTGAGGCAAGATAATCACTTGAACTTGGGAGGTGGAGGTTGCAGTGAGCTGAGATTGCACCATTGCACTCCAGCCTGGGTGACAGAGTGAGACTCTGTCAGAAGGAGAAGAAGGAGAAGGAGAAGGAGAAGGAAGGGAAGGGGAGGATGAAGGAGGGGAAGGGGAAGGGGAGGATGAAGAAGGAGGAGGAGGAGAAGAAAACTTTTCAATAATAAGGGCCAACTAGAACTTAGGCTTGATATAAGGATCAAATCGAAAATAAGACCTTTCTTCCCTGGGAATGCTTTCAGTTGCATCAGATGATTCAGATGAATGGACTAAGAATGTGACTTTACAACTAAAACCTGATGGACTTACCCTTAATTAAACAGACAGAAGGAAAAGCAAGAGGAGGGGGAGGGGAAGAAGGAAGAGGAGGGAAGAAGTTATTTTAAAGTCCATGTCCACTAACTGGATCCTCTCTGTAACTGTTTCTATTTCCAGTTATTTCTCTCTCTTTTTCTTTTTTTTTTCTTTTTTCTTTTTTTTGGTAATGTTGACTTTTTGTTACCCACTTATTTTTAATTCAGTAACATTCATTATATCTGAAAAATTATAGAAAAAATAATACTTGGGATTAATGCTTTCTTTTTCCAAGGAAAATTTATGTTTGCTTCTGATAAGCAGCTAGAAGGAATACCAACCACAGATAATCTAATTCAAGGGATTGAGATACTTTGAAACTAAACTTTAATTTGTACAAGGACCAACTCTTTTTTTCCTGGTTCATTCTTACTCTTAGAGGGTAGTCCTTCTAAATCCCAAACCAGACCATGGGGGGATATTATTAGGGGTCCCCATCCTTGACAGGCCCTGGACCTCCAAATTGTGTTCTCAGAGTTCCATTAGGCTATAAAAAGATCTGCTCAGTTTTTCAGCCTCTCAGCTGCCTGTTCTGGTAGCTCCAAGAGCTACACCTCTCTGAGTTTCTTTCCTCTCTGGAATGTTAGCCTTGCTATGCTTCATTTTTTAAAAACTGCCCTGTTCAGCTGTTGTAGTTGTTCTCTATAAGAGGTTGACCTGCACGTTATAGTCCACTGTCAGCAGAAGTCAACTTTTAATATTCACAAGGACTCAATACAGACACACTTACAGGATCATTTTTAGATTCAAAGATGTCTGATAAGCGAACTAATATCAAAGTGGAAGCTGAACAGTAGAGGTTTCTGGATAGGAAAAGGTAATGGAAGGGAAGAAGAGAAAAGCAAACAAAAGAATGAAAGAAAAATCATACAATACTTTATGGTGTAGGTATTCTTTGTTTTACAATGAGGACACTGTGGTTTACATTAAAACTGAGCTGCTCACAATTTATGCAGATCAGAGGTGCTGAAGTCCCTTTCAAATTCAGGACTTTTTGACTCCAGCCTGTATTTGGTTCTCTTCTGCTCAACATGCCTACCTGGCATTATGCCTTTGACCTCTGACAGTCTTCTAATTCCTGAACGTTGGGAGTTAATCTGAGCTCTGGGATTCAACTGAAAATCTTAGCTATTAAACTTGATTGTTTTATCTCTCTCCATACCTCCCCCTGACTATACAAGATACCCCTGTTCCAGCAATACTGATCAAGCGAGGCTAACTAGTCTTAGTTCTAATCTTTATTGTCTCCTCCCACGTTGTTCTCTTCCACAATGCAAATGAATACGAGGAATTTATAGGGTGATAAGGAGGCAGCCTTAAAGATTATTAAGTCAGTGCATGGACAATTTCTCTGGTCTCTCTACACCACCCTTCCTCCTTCTTCCTTTCTTTACTTCTCTCTGTCTGCCTTTCTTTCTTCTCTTAACAAATATCAACTGAACAAATGTTGTACACTAAGTACTTTGCTAAGGACAGAATATACAGTGGTGAAAAAAATCAGGTGATTTATATTCACCTGGACCTTACAGGTTAATGACCAGTGGTAGGCATAGGTTGAAGCTGTATTTTAAAGTTTATCACCCTGGAGCAAAGGTGAGAATCCATAGAAGACCAACGAAGAAGAGAAAGAGCCTAGATCTCTGATGGCACATTTTTTAGTACTGGAGCCCGGCTACAGAACTCAGATTTCCTAAGGATGTGCCCGCACCTTCAGTGCAAAAATACAGAGGCCTAGGCATTGCTTCATGCATCCTCATTACCTTTGAGTAACAATGTCACTTTGGGTTGGAGTGACCTTGTACCTGAGACCCCATTCCAACAGAACCTTTCAGCTCTCCACCTCCCTTGGCCACAACCCCGACTACATAGACATGCCAGCTGAGGGAAAGCCTGCCAGTCAGAGGAATCTGCCCTTCAGCATGCCTAGGGTTAGGGAGCCAGAACATTTGACCCAGGAAAGAGATCCACCCAAGACCTTACCAGTGTAGGTACTTTTTTTTTTTTAATTCTGAGAACAAGTTAGAGCCAAACTGATTAAATGACAAAACAAGCATTGAGTGTTTTCAAAGGTGTGGATGGAACAAACTGAAATAGTATCTGCCTCCTGTCTCCTCTCCACTTTAGTCTCCCCAATGGTAATGCCCACTCTGACCGTGAAGGCACCCTTGAAGGCAAGTTATTTGTGGTTATATATAATTGATCAGCAACCATAACTTTTAGTCTGATTTAGTCTTAGTGCCAAGGGGCTTCCATTTGCTTTCAAAAAGAATCTCTATCCTTTGTTCATTTTTCCCCCATTAACTTACCACAGGGCCAAGTGCAATGTAATCATATCTCATTGTAATCATTCTGCTGTCAAAGTGACATCACTGCATTCAACACTATGTTTGATGTTAAACCATCCACTCCATGTGGGTTTATCTCTTTAATGCAGGCAAGACCTCTATTGCTAGAAGAGAAACTTCAGGGGAAGGAGAATATGAATTTGTGGGACAGTTCTCTCCTGGAAGAGAAACGGGATTCTGGGTGGGAACAGGGGTGGGGCTTGCAAAACTTGTGAAGCAGAGAGGCTAGCTTCCTCAGTCTTTGAGGTGAAATTCACGTCTTTATAACTTTTGTCTATTTATGGTGGTTGTTCCTTCTGGAATAATGTCAAACAAGTTTTTGTTCACCCGTGACAACCTTTCAGTTAATTAAATACAGATCCCTTGCCCTCTTTTCCTTTCCTTGTATTTTCTGTTCCTCAGGTTGAACACTTCCCATTCTTTCAACTATTTCTGATATCACATTTTGGCAGAAGGAAACATGGGTGGAAAATATTGTGGGAATAAGTACTTCATGTACACTTCAGTAAATGACAACTCTTTCTCTAACCTGAAAGCCAAACATTCTGACACCAGATCAGAGCACACTTAGAGTGACATGTCAACATTCCAAACCGCCTGCCTGTGAGGGGAAACAAGAAAAACGGGACCAAAATATTTTTGCCTATATTAATTAAGAAATGTTTTTTCTTCATTGGTTCTCATATGGAACTGACATATTTTTGTCACTCCTTAGAATGATTTGAAGTTTCATATTTTAACCTATTAATAAAACTTTCCTTAAGATTCATTTGAAATTACTTTAATATTTAAAATACAACTCCACTAATGTGTTTTAGAGCCTCATGGTCTTTTTATTTATTTTATTTTCTGAAACAAAAATAAATAACTATCCTTTAAAAAGTCTCTATTTTCTGAAACTGTGGAACCAAGACCAAACCGAACACTGAAATAGGCTCCACATCAGGCACAAATTAATATTTTTATTGAATTTTTGGGATAATGTGCAGAACATACATATTGGCATTTTGTAACTTCTGTTAGCTATAAAAATAACAGCACATCCCTACCTTTCTTTTCTGACTTGTTTAGTCTGAGACAAACCAGAGAAGAAAAGGAATAAATTTAGCCCTTGGCCCACTATTAGGTGGGTTCTGAGATTAATCTTGTACTTAATCTTTTAATCTTAGACCCGTACTCCTGTGCTCATGAAAGGTGAGATTAATACATGTACTAATATTACTACTACTGTATCAACACAGAAATAGTTGTAATGCTACTGATTGCATGAGAGTAATTTTAGTGTTCCACTTTCAATTATGGTGGTGCCTCTTACTTTAAGATAGATATTTTTAAATCATGGAAAAAGCCATTAAAAGTGGCTTTCCAAGTCTTCTATGAAATTGTATGGTGTTAACATTTTTTAAATGTCCTTTCAAATTTTATTGATGTTATTAAATATTAGAAAATAAATAGTATTTAATTATTGTTATAATTGCTAGAATTATATATATATATATAAATTAAAACAATGTTCTGGTGGAGTCTGGGAAGTTGGCGGTAATGGTGCCATAACTCTTGAATCTACCCAAATCCCACAGAAGCTACATATCAAAAACTTAAGCTCGTGGGTATACAGTCATGTACCTGATAAGGACATTTTGGTTAGTGACGAACTACGTATGTGACCGTAGCCCCATAAGATTATAATATTTTATTTTTTCTGTATATTTTCTCTGTTAAAATATGTTTCAATATGCAAATACTTCCCATTGTGTTTCAACAACTGCCCACAGTATTCAGGACAGTAACATGCTATACAGGTTTGTAGCCTAAAAATAATCGGCTATACCAGATAGCCTAGATGTGTAGTAGGCTATACCAGCTAGGTTTGTGTAAGTACATTCTAAAACATTTGCACAATGACACGATTGCCTATCAATGCATTTCTCAGGACATGTCCCTGTGGTTAAGGGACATACAACTGTACAATAAAATGATTCTTAGGCAACCCCATGAAACTCACCAAAACAAGAATTGGCTGAAACACAGAGAGCTATAGAAACTGAGTGGTATCAACATCAGTGTGAGAAGTAGCAGCTGGAGACATAGAAAATCTGACAAACCAGAAAATAGGAGAATCCAAAAATGTTCCCAAGGGACTCACTGGAAAGCACAGTGTGCTGATTTTATAAAAAATGAGTTGTACTAACTCCAATCGTGAGTATGTACAGAGGTATGAAGAATTCTGGGCACTGTGAACTCTCAAAACTGTCCCAACTCCCCTTGAGGAAAGATGCCTATAGTGATGAAGAGTTGTTGAGCAGATCTGAGACAACTGAGATAAAGAAAACACTAGCTCCAGATAAAAGATAAAAGGGTGGAGAGGGACAGGGCCAAGAAATGGATAACAGAAATCAAGCTGACATATTGCATAACAACAGAAATGAGCTTTGTGAAATTAGAGAAACTATCATGAACCATGGCTTCTTGCAAAAGTTCAAGGAAAAAAACACTAATTTCACATAAAAATGAGCAAGAAAAAACCTAAGTGACAACAACATAACTCCCTACAGAAAACACATGTACAAAAGGAACAAAAAAAGAAGGACAGGACCACAGCAAAGACATGCTATTTCTAAATGAGGTAAGCATATTAAAAACATGACATAAAATGAAAGACTAACATATATCACAACTGGAAAAATATCAGAAATGAGGTGTAACAATTTAGGAAAGAATTCTAAATAAAAGAAAAAAAACTTCAGAAATGAAAACTAAAGTAGAAGGCATACAGTTGCAAACAAATACAACAGATAATGGCTGAAGAAAAATATAAAGTGAAAAATAATTTTAAAAACCAAAAAAAGAAATTGAAAGATAAAATGATTTAAGAAAAAGTAGCAAATATTGAATATAAGCAAAGAAGATTCAATAGAGGTATAATAGCAGTCTCTGAAGAGGAAAAACAAAGCAAAGGAATAACAAATATGATGAAAAATAATTGAGGAAAACTTTCCTAAATGTTAAAATATGCAATTTATTTTATGCTAAATTATACAATATATAATTTAAATTACATATTGAAAAGAAAAAGCACATACCTGAAAAAAAAAATTTAACCCATTGCCTGACTTTAAATTATACTGCAAGGCTATAGTAACGAAAACAGCATGATGGTGGTACAAAAATAGATACATTGATCAATGAAACAGAATAGAGAATCCAGAAATAAACCCACATACCTAGAACCAACCAATCTTCAATAAAGTCAACACAAATAAACAATGGGGAGAGGACACATTATTCAATACATGATGCTTGGAAAACTCACTAGCCATATGCAGAAGAATGAAACTGGATCCCTATCTCTCACCATATACAAAAATTAACTCAAGATGGATTAAAGACCTAAATATAAGATCTGAAGCTATAAAAATCCTAGAAGACAACCTAGAAAAAACTCTTCTGAATATTGGCCTAGGCAAAAAATTTATGAGGAAGACCCCAAAAGTAATTGCAACAGAAACAAAAATAGACTTGGGACTTAATCAAATGGGACTTCATCAAACTAAAAAGCTTCTGCTTAGCAAAAGAAGTAACCAACAGAACAAACAATCTACAGAATGGGAGAAAATATTTATATTAATAAATTATAGTTACAACAAAGAATTAACATCCCAAATCTATAAGGGACTCAAAACAACTCAACAAGAAAAAATAACCCCACTAAAAACTGGGCATGAGACATGAACAGTATTTCTGAAAAGAAGAAACACAAGTGGCCAATAAACACATGAAAAAATGTTCAACATCACTAATCATAAGAGAAATGCAAATTAAAGCCACACTGAGATACCATCTTACACCAGTCAGAATGGCTTTTATTAAAAAGTCAAAAAACAACATATGTTGCCATGGGTGTGGAGAAAAGGGAACACACATATACTATCAGTAGGAATGTAAACTTGCTCAACCTCTATGGAAAGCAGTATGGAAATATCACAAAGAACTAAAAATAGAACTACCTTTCTTCTCAGCAATCCTGCTGCTGAGTCTCTACCCAGAGAAAAAGAAATTACATAAAAAGTACACCTGTAGTCCTATGTTGACTGCAGCCCTATTTACAATAGCAGAGTCATAGAACTGACCTAAGTATTCACCAACAGTTGATTAGATGAAGAAATTGTGATATGTACACACCATGGAATGCTATGCAGCTACAAAATAGAATGAAATAATGCCTTTGCAGCAACATGGATGGATCTGGAGGCCATTATCCTAAGTGAACCAACATAAAAACAGAAAATCAGTATTATGTGTTCTCATATATAAGTGGGAGCTAAATAAAGGGTACATGTGGACATAAAGATAGGAAAAAAATGACTGTTGACTTGAAAGGGAAGAAAGGAGGAGGCAGGGAGGGTTGAAAAATTGCCTGTTGGGTGCAATGTCCCATATTTGGGCCATGGGTACACTAGAAGCCCAACCCGCACCATTAAGTATGTAATACCAATGTAACATATAAGCACATGTACCCCCTAAATCTAAAATAAAAATATATTTTTAAAAAAGCTAATTCTAGTTAAATTACTGGGCTTGAAAAAAATAAACAATCATTCTGACATCTAGGCAGAAAGACAAAAGACTTACAAAACAAGACTATTAGACTTCTATCAGACTTCTCAATGGCAATGTTTTATGCCAGAAATAAAGATATAGAATAACATATTTAAAATACTGAAGGGGAATAAATGAGCCAAAGAGTTTGTGTGCATCCAAACAAACTAACTTTCATTTGTAAAGGCTACAGACAAACTTCCCTCACTTTCAAGAAGTCAAGTAATGTTTCCATGCACTCTTGCTGAGAAATCTACTAGAAAACAATCTTCAGTAAAGTAAAATTATTTTATTTAAGATATGAAAATAAGAATTGATGGTAAGCATTAAATGTATCATTCCACTTATACCTAAATTTTAAGAATAGTTGAAGAATGCATAATATACAATCATTATAAGCACTGACAATACAAAGTACCACAATTTTCAGAAATGAGGAAAGAATGAGGGAATAAGCTCAAAAAACTATTTAATGATTGCAGTTATCATATGGGTGGAGTAATATGGATATTGTTATTCTGAGACTATTGTGTGTATCATGTGATATAAAGCCAAGCAGTAATTATGCAATATTCCAATTCTATCATCCCCTCACTTCTTGAGAACCAGGATTACTTGTGTGAAATAAATGACATATAGAAGTAACCTAGAAAGGTGAATTACAATAATCAAAATGAACTCATAACTTTAAAAAAGTTTGTGACATTTATAAAAATTAAAATTAATTTCATAATTATATATAATATATTTAACATTAGTGTACGATCGTTCTGTCCACTGAAAAGTCCTAGAAATTAAAGAAACCAGCAGCACACAAATATTCATGTTGTCTACAAATATAGACAGTTTTAATTCTTCCTTTTCAATTCTTATCTCACATTGCCACACAGGGTAAGGCCTACATTATCAATGTTAAATAAAAGTGGGAAAGCAGGCCTCATTGTCAATATCTCAATCTTAGAATCATAGAAAGATTTTCGCAAGTTACCATTAAGTATGAGGTTTCCCTAAATTTTCTGTGAGGCAATAATTTTTAACCCATATTTTCACTTAGCAATATCACTGTACTTTTTGCTTTAAAAGATGATAAAATTCTCACTACTAACCTTCTTGTCATCTCATTTCTCCAACCCTCTATTTTTGTTAAATATATTATTCTTTGAATAATGCCAAAGTTTATAGCATTAAATTGTGTGCCATAACGCTAATTTTTAAGATTATTTTGCTTTAGTTCAGGTTTAAGTTGACTCATTACTAATCACCTTGTATTTATTTTGAATTCAGTACCCTTTGTTTTCAATTCATATTTGTCTCATGATTGCCTTGATTTTGTCATTGATATTTTCCAAAGGAGACCAATGGATGTTCTATTTTTTGAGTTATTTTGTATTTGAAATGTATATATGTTGCTTTTATACATTAATTGTGATATTCTTTGGTCTGGAAATGTGTCAGTAAATGTTTAACAACTAGCTCTCTGAAGGAACAAAAAGACCAGATTTTAGCACTGGCAGTTTTCCTGAGACAAATGATTTCATCATGGCTGATTCCAAGCTATCAACATGGTGCCACTGAAAGTAAACGGAAAGAGATGCTTGGGAGCACACTATCACGTAATATTTTGCAGTATCTCCACTGTATAGACATAATAGACATAAGTAACTGCAAAATCATGTATAATCATAAAATGTAGTAAAATAATTAGGAAGTAATGAGTCAAGCATTTATTACTTCTGTTTTTTAAAAATAATGTATTTCATTACAAGTTTCTATAATTTAGTTTTAAATAATGGTTCTGTTTAACTTTTGTCTGATGATACTCCTAAAACTTTAACAAGCTGGGTCCAACAACTTTGTCATACCTTATTTACTTTAGAACGATGCTGACAATGTGCTTTTATATTCATGCATTAAATGTTGCTGTAGAAACTTCCGAAGCTAACTTTTTGCAACATGAGAACTGAACTGATGAACTTTGCCCCACTTCGTACTTTAAGCACATAGAAATTCTGGATAAAATGGCAAATATTAAATAAATCAAAATAAGACAAGATAAATCTCCATGTGTGAGAAAGGAAAAATGAAATCAATGCCAGAGCAATAATTTGAAACTGATTCAGTGACAGCTCTCAGGTGTTAGAGGAGGCATGGATTATAGAGCTGGGTGCTGAGAGTCTAAAGTCCATTCAGGGAGAAGCAGCTGAAATGGAAATGGATTAGAAAATCTCTGTCCGTCATCTCAGAAAAATAGTGAGTATTAGGTCTTAGGTTTTGGATGACGGGAAGGAAAATTACTGGCACAAAAGAAAAACTCCAGACCCACACCACTGATAGACATTTGAATTCGCTGAATAGTACATTACCAATAAACTCAGAAACTAACCAAAAGCTAGTGTGGAATATTGAAATCCCTGAGTTTCCACTGGGAACTCTCTCATCATAAACAATCATGAAACCATGTGGTGGCAACTTTTTATAAGGCAAGACGGAATAATTAATTCCTTCTGAAGATGAACAAGGTATGAAAAAGAAGAAAGCAATAAGGAAAAGATTGATGAGATCCAAAGGGCCAGATGACCCAACAAAAAGAAAAATTAACAACCCAAGAACTAGAAGTAATGGAATAATATGGAAATATTCAAATACCAAAGATGAATAAGAGCACTGGATATAATTTTAAGATAACAGACCCTATTGAAAAGAATAGGTGAATTCAAAAGGGAACCAATTAGAATTTCTAGAAACAAATAATAAATAGTTCACTAGACATTAAAAAATGAATAAGTGGATTAAAGAGGAGGGTAGATGCAGCTGAAAAGAAAACATATAAGGTGGAAAATGGAGAATAAAAAGTATTTTCAAAACCACATGGGACATTTATAAAAGATTTTCCAACAAATACCAAAATAACCAGTACCATAAATCACCTTCTCTGATAACAGTGTAATTAAATAAGAAATAAATGTTCAAGAACTGAAAACAATTCACATAATTTTTATAGGTTTAAATAAAAGTATCAAAAAAAGAAACCAGAATGGAAATTGTGAAATAGTTGAATTTAAATGACAATGAAGGTAGCACAGATGAAATCTATACAAAGTAGCTAGAGCAGTGTTGGAGGGAAGTGAAGAGCTTTGAAGACAAATATTAGAAAGATAGGCCTGTGATCCCACGCTTTGGGAGGCCAAGGTGGGCAGATCGCCTGAGGTCAGGAATTCAAGACCAGTCTAGTCAACATGGTAAAGCCCCATCTCCACTAAAAACACAAAATTAGCCAGGCGTGGTGGTACATGCCTATAATCCCAGCTACTCAGGGGCTGAAGCAGGAGAATGGCTTGAACCTGGGAGGCAGAGGTTGCAGGTTGCAGTGAGCTGAGATCGTGCCACTGAACTCCAGCCTGGGTGACAGAGCAAGCCACTGTCTCAGAGAAAAAAAAAAAAAAAAAAAAAAAGAAAGAAAGAAAAGAAAAGAAAGAAAGATAGGTGGAAAAGTCATGAGCTAAATGTTCAGTGCAATAAATTATAAGAGTACGTTGAAACTAAAGAAAATACAAAGTTGGAATAATGAAAATCAGAGAAGTTAAAGAAATAGAAAAATAAAACAAGATGAACAGAATTAAAGGCTAAATCTCTAAATGATCAATAAAACAGAAAAAGGTCTATCAAAACTGATGAAACAAACAAAATTAAGACACTAATAAACATGTTAAAAAACAAAAAGACATACATACATCGCAGAAACTTAAAAAGAATATTTTGAATAACTTGAATTCAATAATCTTGAAAAGTTATATAAAATGAACAACTTATTTTATTTTACTTTCTTCATAAGAAAAAGAATGTAAAACTATCTCATTTATTTTTTATAGTGATTACATATTAAAATGTCAAAATGGCAATATTTAGGACATACTGGGTAAAATAAAATATTAAAGTTAAATTAACTTGTTTCTTTGAACTTTGTATAACGTAGCTGCTAGAAAAGTGTAAATTACACTGAACAACTTAAATTTTCAATATAATTACAAGAAATATGAATTTCAGTTGATTTTAGAGATGAGTCTCCTTTAAATAATAACGAATCTATAGATTATATGATCTGTTCTAGTCATAGAAACAAATTTGTTAAAAAATGAGGAAACACTTCCTAAAATCTTTTTATAAGACAGATAACTTCAAAACGAAAAATTGACAAGAAAAACACAAGAAAACATATTAAAATAATGACAGTAGGAGTAATAATAACTTAAAGTGATTTAGCTCCAGACACTTTCAGAAGTGATTTATACATTTACATGTTCCTCATAATAAATCTATGATTTAGGTAACATGGTTGTCCTCATGTTACAGAAGAGGAAACCGTGGCAGAAACGTGGTGACTAATCTCCCCTAAGTCACACAGATAGTACCCTGTGTACACACTCAAAAGTGAACCAAACAGTCTTGCTTGGGATCCTCTGCTCTTAATCATTCACTTCAAATTTTTTAACAAAACATTAGCAAACCAAAGGTAACGATGTATTTTTAGCACAAAATGATAATGTAAGGTTGAGAGAGACATTCAGAGTATTTCTTCTTAGTCACCAATTCACATTCCTAGCATATGCAATCTCCAGTCCATTGTTAGGTGCCCATAAGATTTTACAAATTGACAAACATATCTTCTTTCTCCCAAAACTGTTCAATCTCAGATTTGTTCCTTTTCCATCCATTTCTGTCTGGCTATATAGGCATAATACTTGATGGTCACACCATCCCCTTCCCACCCCCCATCGTACTTAAAACCATTCAATGATTTCCCATTGTTTTTAACATAATGTGCAAATCTCTCATCACGGCCTCCAAGATTTGTTCACAGCTGACCTCTCTAGCTTCTTCTAGAATCATATTCTTTCTGGCTTTCTGTACTTCAGCCACACTGGCCATCTAGAACTTGACCCTGTGCATTTGCTCATGCTGTTCTCTTGCAAAGAACTCCCCACTCCTCCCTTTTTCTAGCTGTCTTCCACTCTTGAAGGTCTCACCTCAATATCACTTCTCAAGGGAACTCTCCACTGAGCTTCCCACCTCCTAAGACTAGGTCAGTTTCCCTCGTCTAAATTCTCACAGCACTCTATCCCTTTTCTTGGTAGCATTATGCATACGTGTAAATTCACATCTATTTGTGGGATCATTTCATTTATTTTTCTCTTCCCCAACTAGAATGCAGGAGAACAAGGCCCATAGCCCACATACTTTCTTTCTAGCATTGATTAAACACTAGTTAAACACCAGTGTTTAATGCAATACTTTCACTTTGTTGGAATAATTTAAGAATTATTAAGAGAGGAGAAGAAAGGAGTGGTAAGTTATTTGAAAAAGATAGCTGCAATTATTATTCTCCATGTATCCATGCCCCTTGCACCTCCTCCCATCAAGAGATAGGATGTATTTGCCAACCCCCTTGTGATGTCCTTTCCTCAATGGAATGCAGCAGAGGCAATAATGGCGTAGTGGCATTGGTGCTATTTACTCATCTAGGCCAGAAGAGATCCTGTGAACTTCTGCTGTCAGTGTTGAATGATTATGACCAAGGATAGCCTAATGGGGGATGCACAACCACAGAGAGACGCCCAAGCCTAGACCATCCTAGACTAGTCAGCCTCCTACCAACCTTCTGGCTGACCTCTGACACATAAGCAAAGCCAGCTGTATCAACCAATGGAGACTGGCCTACAAAATCAGAACTGTCCCACTAATCCCTAGACTCAAGAGCAATAATACATGGAGTATTTTTAAGCCACCAAGTTTTGGGGTAAAGAAAAAAGGAAGAAAACTTAAGAGGGAAAAATGGAGAAAAAGATATAAAGGTGTGTGTGTGTGTGGATAAAGATTCAATGTTTAGCTGCAGAAAAAAATGAGTTCGCCCAAGAAGTTATGCAAAGAGAGGTCTAGGTTCAAATTAAGGCTAGACTTAATAAAGAGCTGAGTCTTCAAAAAAAAAAAAAAAGAAATGGAATGAAATCCTTGTTGTGCACCATCCAATGTTATGAATAAAAAACAACAACATGGGATTTTGGAGCTAGAGTTTTAAATCCCAGTTTACTAGTACTAAGTATCTAGATAATGTTCTTATCTAAGTGTGTACAATGCAGCCAATAGCTACTACTCTGCCTCCTGCTTTGGGAGGGCATGGTGATACTGATGAGACTATAGTTCTCTCGCTACAAGACCTGCCAGTAAATTCTCCACTCACAGGTGAATTCTGGACTCACTTACCGCTCAGACTTGGGCTGACGTTTCTCAATTAGGGCCCCAGATGTCCCTGTGCCCGTGGGATCTCAGATTATCCCTAGACTGTACCACAGATATCCACTGACATGAATTATCACAGTCTTTCTAACCAGCTGAGGTTGGAGCCTGACCTTGAATTTATTCTCTCTGGACAGGACTCTCACTCCCATCTGCCTCTTCCAAGCAGTCCTTATATGAATGAGACCTTGAGCCTCATTGCACGTGAACTGCCATCTTTATTCTCACTTCAATCTATTTAGCCTTCCTTGAGCTAGATACCAGCACCATCTTACCTATGAACCCAGACTCTACTCAAATATGTCACTCACGATTCGGCTGGATGCTCTGAACAACAAAGTTAGACCCCACTGATGTTCATTACCCTGAAATGGATGTGATGATTGGGGTTGTCTCCTGTCACCCTTTGGAGTCCAGCCCTACATCAAGTCTGTTCCCGTAACCCCACCTCTGACAATCACTAATAGACCTTTGAGTCTCTTTCTGTAGTCGAGAGGTCCTAGTACATCTCATGAGAAGGTCCCCGAGGGTTAGGCCACGGACATTGTTTAAAAATATATAAATTATAAAGTACTCTACAAGGACTTAGTGTTACCATCATAATTATCTCATGATGATCCAGTTCTTGCTGCCAGAGATGCTGCTATGTAGAGGAATGATTTGAGATGGAGACTGGACTTCTAAGTGCCTTCCATGTTTAATCATCCGAAGTCCTGCAGATGCACTGAATTCCATTTTAAAATTAACAGAATTAGGCAAATTAGGCAAAATCCTATTTTCTACATGAATTTCAAGTATTGTTTGATTTAAACCTTTCTCTTTTCACCACACTCTTTTAATCTAAGTGGTAGCAGTAAAAAGATGACCCAACTAAAGTTTTGCCAGGTGGGTAGGTCTAGACTCATCAAAATAAAAATGAGCAAACAAAAACGAGGACTTGCTTTGTGTCAGACAGGTTTCTAAGTGCTTGATGCTACTCATTTATTCTCACGACAAATGTATGAGATAAGGGCTATGATTATCCCCATTTCACAGATGAGTAAGGCAAGGCATGAAGAGGTTAAGTAGCTTACCCAAGGTCACAGGGCCAGCAAATAGGAGGGCAGGAAGTAAGCCCTGAAAACGTAATCCAGGGATCTAGGCTCTAAAACCCTACATCTTCCATGTGGATGCACAAGTCGCTGCTTCCCCAGTGCCCCCACCTGGTATTACAGAGATAAAATACAGCTTGGTTTCCAGGCCGACTCTCCCTCCAAGTCAGAAACTCCCATCTCTGGTGCACATGAACCGGGATTTTCCAGTTGTGCTTGGCGCTGGCTCCCTGGAGAGAATGTAGCAAATTGGGAAGGCTAGAACTATCTCCTGCCCAGTCCTGCTAATTAAACTCCTCCAACTGACACTTTTTGGCTGGTTCCAAAAGGATATTATTTTTAGCACGTGAGGGTTAAAGGGGAAGGGAAGTGTGCTAGATTCAGGTTGTTAGAGAGGGGGAGAAAGAGAAAGGAGCTCGGAGGGATGCATTATGATTACGACTCGTTTTAATAATAAGATGGAGAAAATTGGGAGTCTGGGCCGGTCTCAAGGCCTTAAGGAAGGCTCCTAAACTCTGTCAACCTCCTTAATGGTTCTGCCACATTTAAATGGGTGGAATATTTCTCTACTCACACAGTCCCAATGGGCCTGCAATTGCAGATTTTAGAAGTATCCAGTTTATTTTATTATTATTATTATTATTATTATTACTATTTCCTGGAATGAAAAGAAGAGTAATGCTTTGCAGGCTGGGGTGAAAGGAGCATTCCATCTTCCCCACCCCTTTTTCTTGCAAGGCTCTTTGACAGCCACACCCTGGCCTACCCTAAGAGGTAACAAATGATGTACTAACATGACCCTGATTAGGAAGCTGGGAGGTTAATCTGCAGGGCTCCTTCTGATAAAGACCAGGCCAGACCATGCACAGCTCGGCCGATTGATAAACTCTGGGCCTGCATAACCACAGGAGCCCATCTGAGGTGTAGAGTGTGCAGTTCTGCCTCCCAGGACTCCATCTATCTACGTCAGTTTCACACACTCACCCACTGCCTCCTTCCTTCTCCCCTCCCTCTCTGCTTCTGTTCCAGTGATTAAAGACGCAAGATCCCTAGCTATTTACCCGCAGTTCTGTAAGCTGTCGAAACCCAGGGGACACAGCCCTGTTAAGCTGAAGCATGAAACCTTGCACCTCTGTGATACAAACCATGAAATCCTTAAAACTCAATTCACAGGAAAAAGAACTTTTCTCTTGGTCCCGCTCTTCATGTGATTAATAGATGTCATTGTTTAGTCTGACAGCAAAGGCTCCATTGTGTGACAAGCTAACAGTTTTGCTCCTGGACAGAGCAAAGAGAGAAAATGCCCATGACACTGGGAAGATCATTTTTTTCAGGACTCAATGCAATGCCATTTTTTTAAAGAGCACACTGATGGAAATTTCAGCATATGCAATAAACATATACTGTAGAACTGAATTAATCTGCTTGTACTGAAGGGCAACTAGTGTGCATTGTAAGGGTGACTGGTAATTAAGTGTACTAATTGAGAGGAGGTAAGAGCCAGACCTGGATTTGAATCTCTGCTCACCCACTTACTGCCTAAATGACCTTAGGCAAGTGGTGTCTCCCTTTAAGACATAGATCCATCCTTGTAAAACGAGATTAATAACAGTTACGTCATAAAGTTGTATCCAGGATGCCATGAGATGATTCTGTTAATGCTCTCAGCACAGTGCCTGGTGCAGAATGAGTCCTTCCCTAATATTAGTGGTCATTATTAGGTCAGCCATGAACATAAAGAACAGGGAGAGACCTGGGGCAAGACCAAATCCACAGCATCATCTTTGGCATGAAGTAGGTTTTACTTTTCAAGCCTCAATAAACTGGCTGCTTCTAATAATCAATGGGTACAGAACACATAGCAGTTGTCATCAGTCCAGAGCAATTGCTCATTGTGATACCAAACTCCTCCTTCAATTAGCAACTGTTTATTTAAAATATGCTCCCCCAAAAAAGTAAAGTCTCTCATTTTGGAGACACATTCTAGAGACTGTAATAACTTGGATTTTAATACTGGGAGTTGATTAACATGTGATACATTTTACAGTAAACTAAATAAGGGTTTTACTCATCTATGCCTCCTAAGAGAATGGGAAAAAATGCTTTGACTTGAACATTTTGAATGATGCTAAATCAAACATATAGTGATCCTTAATCTTGGCTAACTTTGCCCACCCACCCATTCTCCTGGAACATTTGACAATATTTGGAGACATTTTTGGTTATCACAACGAGGGTGAGGGGAGTTGCCACTGGTATCTAGTGGGCAGAGGCCAGGGACTCTGCTAAACATCCTATAAATGCGAAGGATGGCCCCCACCACAAAGCATCATCCAATTCTAAATGACACTACTGCTTAGGGTGAAAAACCCTGGCCTAATCAAACCTGTAGGGTGGTGGGAGAAAACTAGATATTGTAATTGAATATTTAATGAAATCTTAATGTGTGAGGGAATTTGCCTAGAATTTAAATTACTGCCTTGAATTGAAACGAATTTCACCTAATAACTCATTTGCGAATTATTTGTAAACACTGTAGTTTCTGCTTTTATCTTTTGTATTTAAAAAAAGTTTGCCAATTATGAAATACTGTGATCTTCCAGATTGTCATTGTTTCAAAAGCTGCTCAAGGTGGTTCTTTTAATTTAGTCTTTTGCAAAAGCCAAGAGAGTCAGAAGCTGAGCTAATGCTGTCTCCATCATTCATGATGAAAATTGTCCCCGCAAGCACTTTCCCCTGTTCCCCCCACCAAAAAGAAAAGAAACTCATTGCAAAGATTTCACTTACCTTACCTTCAATGTAAAGATTTTCCTCCTCTAAATTCTCCATGAGCATGGTTCCTAATCCGAGGATAGGATTTCCCCAATGGCTGAGATGGTGGAAATCAAAACATTCGAAAATATAAGGAACCAGATATAGGTCCCACTCACTGTTTAGTTTTCTTTGCCTTTCATGCCCACAGAATACAGCATTGCCCATCTGAGAAAGTCATTAGTGAGAGAAGAGCTTTTATAAGCTCTTCCTTGAAAATGGGGCATGCTTGCTGTTTTTGGAAAATATCAGCCTGGAAGAGATAAAGTTCCGTAGAGGGCAAAGCTATCAAAGCCAAAATCACACGATTCTTTGATTTCAGAGGCCCTTGCTTAGAATTTGGCACTGCCCCACCTCCATTTCCCCCTCTATTCCCATGGATCAACCAAAGCCATAACACAGCCCTGGGAGCCCAGAGAGGACTATAGTAAAAGTAGTATTTATTAAATGTGAGTTATGAGCCAGGAACTGTGCAAGGTGCTTTAGAGACATTAGTTCCTCCAGAGGAATTTCAGAAGCCACAACTAGGTTAGTGTAAAAACAGTTTTTTTAAGGGTTTGAGTAGATTCTTGTTTAAACTAACACAAGCCTAAATCCAGATTAATAAATATACTTTTAAAAAATGTCAACACAGCCATGGAGTTACCGTCTTACTGACACACTCTTCATTGCCTCTTTCCTTCTTCACAAGGCTGTGATTTCCTTGGAGCATGGCCTCTTAAAGGCAAGTGATTTATCTGCATCTACTTATCCCTATACCTAGAGGAATACCTGGTTTAGAGTAGGTCCTCATTGGTTCCTGCTGAATTATTGTATTTTAATCCCAACATAAGTGAATGTTTTGCATGCTCCCTGGAACATAATAGAAACTCTTAATATATAATATACTAAATTGAATTTATCCACAATACAACGAGTCTAAAAACAGCTATACTATAGAGTGGGTGCCAAAATACAAGTGGACTAACCTTAAGGACAGTGCCTTAGGGTGGTACTTGTGAATATAAAAGACTCACTTATGTTTACTAGCATGGCACTGGGACAGGGAAGAGCCTCTTAGAGTGCAGAAGCTATATATTTGCACAGAAATCCAGCCAAGGTTTGCAAGCAGTGGTGTCTCTACTCTGAGAAGCAGTGTGGGCTGCAGTATGATGGCTACTTGGAGCCCTGCACTCCACCTGACCTGTGTGTGACCCTTAAACCTGACACCTCAGTACTCAGCTGAGAGGAGACCTGGGGGATGTGGACAAGCAGCACCCAGCACAACCAGGTATGTGTGATGGGAGGCATGGCTCAGCTGAATGGATGACCCAGCATCAGGCTCAATCCTGCTGAAGAGGCAGAGAAGATAGTGTTAGGACTATTGAGAATGAACATTTCAAAAGAGAGCAAGAGTGTATGCTCTCTGCAAATCCAAAGAGCTTTCTGCCATTGATGAACGTAGTAGGCAGCAGTAATGGATAGTACTAGAAAGCAGTAGAGCCTTCTCAAGCAGTAGATGTGAGGTAAACAGTCTCTCGCTGAGTGGTGGATCTCCAGAGACCACATTACTAAATCAGGAGAGACAGCACTAACAACATTTAGATATTTGAAAAATATCCTCAGCTTTAAAATAAGGATAAAAGTTAATACATAACTTCCCAACTTCCTATGAGTAACTCTGTAACATCTGGACATGGCTTCCACTGAGTCCGTAACAGAGACTTCAGTTGAGTGTTCAAAGGTGTACCACACATTGGCCTTCACTTCCTACCTTCTATTCTTTTTTTCATTTTTGGTGAGCATTTATCATGCTATTGTGTTATTTACTAGGGCAAGACACCACCCCTACCTTGGAGGAATGTTTCGGGAAGATACATATTACTTAACAGGATAGCATGATAATGACAATAACAGTAACAATAACAATAACAGCTAACATTTATTGAGTCCCTATGATATGCCAGGCACTCTGACAGGTGTTTAGAGGTTGGAATAACCCTATGAGGTTGGGCTCCTGGGATCAAAATCCAATGCCTACTTGATGGATGTTTCTTTCCAAGGTCAGAGGCCATACCTCCTTACCCTTATGCTGTCAGGGAACTGGAAGAGAGACTTAGCACCAACAACATAGCAAGCATGTCACTAAGTGCTTTTGCCTATGCAACCTGCTTCAAATAAGCTGAATCATAAAGATTTCTAAGACAGCAAGAAAATATCCATCCAAACATCATAATTAGAACAACAAATACTTAGTTCATGGTGATCTACTCATTTGATAAATATGTACTGAGCATATGCTATATGACAGATACTGTTCCAGCCTCAGACCTGTGCAATGACCAAGGCCAAGAAGTCCCTGCCCTCAGGGAAATCACATCCTAGTGGAAAAAATAAACTATGACAGGAAAATAAAAAGAAAGAATACATAAATGAGATTACTTCTGATAAGTTCTGGGAAAAAAAATTAAACGCTTCCAAGTGATAGAAAGTTCTTAGTTAGGGTAGCAGAGGGTGGGGCAGAGCCAACTGAGCAGGGACAATCTGAGAAGGCTCCACAGGGAGACATATTCAACTGGAGGAGCCAGCCTTGCTGAGATTAGATGGAAGACCATTCTAGGAAGAGGAAAGAGGAATGGATAAACAGAGAGGCCCAGAGGCAGAAAAACAAAGAAAGCCAGTGTGGCTCAAGTGCAATAAGGGGACAGATGAAGACAGAGAGGTCGACAGGGGACTGATCACACAGGGTCTGGTGGGCCATGCTAAGGTGTCCGAAAATGCCACTCACATTCTATGTAGGAGTGTGACATGGCTCTATTTATGTTTAGAAGAGATCACCCATGGTGCCATGTGGCTGCTGTCCTAGACAGCCAAATACAAGTGACTATTTGCCATTCTAAGGACCTTCCTTTATTCATTGAATTCAGAGGCACTAACTGTGGCCAGGGCATGCTGCCAAACTCTGAGGCTGCCATGGTAAGGTGGACAGAGTCCCTGCCCTCGAGTAGCTTACAGACTCCTGGGGTTTACAGTTCCACACGTGGAAAATTAATTTCTGGGTTCCTCCACTGGGAAGGTTCAGGATATTCAAGACATAGCCAGGGCTCTAAGCCCAGGTACAGAGTGACAGGGCTTTCGGGAAGGGATGACTTCCCAACTGAGATTAGATGGTCATAAGGAGTCACACAGGGGAACAGAGGGAGTCAGGGCAAAAGGTGTTTATGGACAAGGAAATGTCAGTGGGAACAGGGACCACAGTCCAGCAGGGCAGGTGTGGAGCTTAGGAGTCAGGAAGAGGCCAGAGAGGGGACTGGCCCCTACCTGGAGAGGGCTGTGAGCCAGAGGTGGGGTGTAAGTACAGAGTGCAGCAGTCTGCAAAGCAGGGCCTCAGCAAATCCTCATGCAACAGGACTAAAGGCATCTTCCAGGAGAGAATCCAGACACAGGCGAGGATAACATCAAAGGATTTCTGTGGCTGGCTGGTTGCTTTAGCATTCAAGGTGTTCTTCCCCCAACCACAGCTTTCATCCAGGCCCTCTGGCTCCCTGGCTACTGTGGATAAGCCACTTTCTGCTTCTCAGGAACTTGAAGGCAGTTACTTCCTCCAAACTGAATTTTGGTGGCTTTATGTCAAGTGCCCAGATGGAGAAAGAGAAGCTGTGATTGCTGCTGCTGCTCCCAAAGCCGCAAGGGAGCTGTTTGCACAACATAATGGCTGGTGCCCCATCAGCCCTTCTCCTATAGAGCAGCACCCAGCACAACCAGATATGTGTGATGGGTGGCGTGGCTCAACTGAATGCATGACCCAGCAGCAGGCTCAATCCTACTGAATAGGCAGAGGAGATAGAGCTAGGACGATTGAGAATGAACATTTCAAAAGACAGCAAGAGCATATGCTCTCTGCAAATCCATACAGCTTTCTGCCATTGATGAAAGTAGTAGACAGGCTATTAAGAACAGCTTCAGAGCCATTCAGCCCAAGTTCAAATCCTGACTCTGCCACTTCCTAGTTCTATGATACTGAGCAAGTTGCTTAACCATTCTGTCCCTCAGTTCTGTCATCTAAATTGAGCCAAAAATGGTATTTAGTATGAAGCTGTTATGAGGACCCAGGAAGTTAATAAATATAAGGCCCTTCAACCAGTCCACAACATATGATAAATATTCATTAAATGTTAGCTGTCATTATTCCCTGTTTGCCAAGTTCTGGAGATTGAGAAATGGACAGAGAGAGACATGTATCATTTATTGATGACCTACTATGTGTCAGGTATTTTGTATATATTAGTTGTAAGGTTATAGAAAACATGCCTGAAAATTTTTTACTATCTCATAACAAGGTGGAGTGTATTTCTCCTAAATGTAATAGAGTGACGAAAATTCCATACTATAGATATATAAGTAATGATTTCTACATAAAGATGAGGCTGCAAGTAATTATGATTGGGGAGAGGGGTGAAGTGTGGAAGGGAACAAGGATTGCAGTGGAAAGAAATTAGCGGACAATTTGACTGTTGTTCTTCTTTAGTCATTTCTTAGAATTCATGATATTTACAAAGCACATAGCAGACTACACTTGGTAATGGAATTTCCCTATCTTCATTTACTTGTTCCCTTGTTAATGTCCATCACTGCAAGAGGCATTAAGTATGGTGCTAACATGCCAGTAACCCCACCTAAGCAGAGAAACTTCAGGGAGCCATGTCATGTTACCCTACCCCATCCTGCCCAGTGAAACCAGCAGGGTAGCCAAGACTTGCTGCTTGCTCAGGACCTCTGAGGAACTAGGTGCAAAAACCCAAATGGAAAGAGACAGACTCATAGGATTCCTCTTTGAGTGGCAAATTGGATGACCAACAGAGAATCAGGAGCAGAGGTAAAAGTAGAAGCATGTGATAGTCAAAGCCATGAATGAGGAGAAATGATAGAGTGGTGAGTAAAGCCAACCAGGAGGTGAGTGAAAACCAGGCAGACACAGACGTGAGCAGATTTTAGAGGCAGTCCTGCAGTGAGGATTAGGAGTCTCTTGCTACTGCAGCCAGCAATACCTGATTTCACAAAGCCCTTGTAAGACAGGAACCCATGGTCCCTGCCCTTCCTGAGGCCTGGCCATTAACTGTTCCCTAGGGTTTTTGAGACCCAGCCATACCAAGATGCCTGATTCAGACATCCCCATTTGTAACCTTAGAGCAATAGTTCTCAGCCAGGGGTGATTTTGTTCCAAGGGTATGTTTGGCCATGTGTGGAGACAGTTTTGGCTACCATAACTGGAGATGGAGGCATACTAATAGCATCTAGTGGGTAGAGACCAGGGATGATGCTAAAGAACCTACAATGAACAGAGTGGACCCCCATGACAAAGATCTGCCCATCCCAAATGTCAACAGTGGTGAGATTGAGAAACCCTATCTTAAAGAGTCAACTCCACATGACTTGAAACAACCGCAGGCAGCTCTCTGCCTCTGGAAACCGAAAGAATTCAAGAAATGCAATGGTTTTTCACTTCTGCCATATTATTAATTCTTGAGGGCATTTTGGGGAATGATAGATTTGCATCCTCCACAGTTCATTGTTTGGGTTCTGCTGCAAAGTAGTCATTTAATAATACAATGAATTTGCCTTGTAATTGAAGATGGGTTTCAACCTCTGATTTAAATCTCATAGACAACGGCACCCTTGGAAAGCGCTCAAATCACACATAACACTTCGTATATGCAACATACATGGTTTACATATAGATACAGGGCTTGTTTTGTGTTGATTCTTATGTTTGAAAATTTGAAGTTTAATATGTTGGTTGCACATCAACATATTGGGAAGTTTCACGTGACAAGCTGTACTAGGAAACTTGGGACTCTCAGATGCGAAAAAAAATTTGTGATATTGAGATGTCTGTGCAATAAAGACTCCAAAAGGAAAAAAGGCAGATGGGAATCACAGATTTAAAGAAATAACATAGAGAGACATCATTCTATAAGAATTTATCTCAGAGTAGGACTGCGGGTGATAAATCTGAAGGAGCTGTCTTAAACTAAAATATAAAGATCAGGAAACTGAAAAGAGCAAAACTTTTAAACCAAATAATATCAATGAAAGTTGTAACATAATTATCTTTAACTGTCATTTATTTATTACCCATAAGATTTCAGGATCCAGATTAAGTGTTGTGCATGTCTTATCTCATTTAATACTAGGAAAACTTGGGGCTCTTTTTTCATATCTAAGATGTCCCATAACCAGTTAGTTGTATAGTGGGGTATGGAGCCTGCATTTTCAGTCCAAAATATTTTTATTTTCTAGGGTAAAGACAGGATTTTTACCCTAAATCTAAGCCTTCTTCTGCTGAGAAAACTTGATGGGAAATTCACCTATCTCAATGTGTTTGCTAGGACATCTCTATAAGGAGGAGAAACATGGATCCCTTTTGCCACTGCTAAATGATCAGGAAGACATGAAGAGCATTCTCCAATATTCTTACCACTCTTGGCTATGGAGCACTCTCTGGCATAAATGTGTTTGGCTCTGTTCTTCAGCTACAAAATATTCATATCCAAGCTACTGTCATAGTGATGTCAGTTTAGTGAATGACATGTGGAACTAGATTAAAGTAGGGGTAGCTAAATGTGGAGAAAACAAGTAAGATACAGAATCAAGAAACACACCTATTTCCCAAGGTAATACTTCACCAAAACTAGCCCTAAAGAACTTTCTATTTCTAGAGATTCCTACCCTTTGTAAGAAATAGCCATGAATTCTTCTCAGCCTGTAAGGGGAAGACACATTGTTGGAAAGGTAGTTTACCCTTTGATTGTAATAAGGGCTTGAATTTTACCTGTGCTTTTCCAGATATGACCTCCAGCCCCAAGTTGTCAAGCTGACTGCTCCTAGCTTCCTTTGAGTTGATGGTCATGCCTCATGATTCCACATTCAGAAATTCAAGCCTTAGGTCAAATTCCATACTTCTGTGCAAATCTATAGAAAAACTACCTTCTAAATAACCTGGGATTCATCTTTTAACTCTCAAATGACTGATACTTCCTGCCATACATAGACCAAAAAGAGTGTTTTCTATAATTTCCTGAAATCTTATGTAGTTAGAATGTTTATTATATCTTATTCTACTCTATTGTTAAAATATAGTGTGTAATATATACGCTGTAATATATTGAAATATGTTTATAATACATTGTATTATTAATGTTATAGTATAAAATGATGATTTTTTTAAAGATTGCTAGGCTTTAGGAAAAGGCCTGGCACGCTATCGTTTGCAGGCTAAAGCTATCCCAGCACTTGTTTTTATAAATAAAGTTTTATTGGAACACAGCCATATTCATTCATTTATATACCATCTGTGGCTGATTTTGCACTACAATAGCAGAGTTGAGTAGCTGTAGCAGAGACCATATGGTCCATTAAGCCTAAAATATTTACAATCTAGTCTTTTACAGAAAAGATTTGCCAAACCCTACCTTAGAATAGCATAAGAACTGCTATTGGGACTCAGTTTCCTCATTAAATGAAAGGTTTCGCTGAGAGATGGCTAAAATTAAGAATTTTTTTCCATTTTCTCATTATTTGATCAAATCCAAATCCAAATCTGGGGCCTCTCCTGCATTTAGTATTCCAGTAAAACGTGAAGGCCATGTCCCCAAATATCCTAATATCACTAATGATGCTTTACACATGCCTTAACTTCTCTAAGAATTTTGCAAAAGAAATGATGCCTGTTAGGTTATAACTGTTCTATGCTACCTACATATATGCATCTGTCATGACACTTAACTCTATACCTCAAGCCCTTTGTCCACCTCTACTGCCCTTACTCATCTCATGCCTACCTCTTCTTACCCACGCTGGCATTGCAGCCATAAATCCTAACACTCTGGAAAGAGCCAGATGTTTCTATTTTATAGCATGTTAACCTCATCAGTAAGCTATGTTTGATAAGATGTTGTGCAGCATAAGAGCAAACCTGGTGTGTGCATCATGAATGGGTGGGCCCACTCCATGCCTACACCTTGGTGCCACCCTCAGTCTTCTCCATGGGCAGTGCCACTAGCCTTCCAGCTCTTCTCTGCTTTGGTGGCTTGTGCTTCTGGTCTTCACCAGCCATGACTTCAATGTGTGGCAGCTTGCAATGTGTGCATTTGGTATTTGGACTGTCCCCTCTGACCTCTGGCTTAACCTTGATGATCTGTGCACCTGGACTGTCCCTAGAGCATGGCCTCATCCGACCAAGCCTGTCTCCACTATAACTCTGTCTCCAGTTGGCATGAGGTAAGCAGTGTGGAATCAGTTAGAGGCCACTGGAAGTTGAATGCAGCTAAGCAGTGGCAAGGCCCATATGAAATGGAAAGGAAAGGAGCTAATAGGGCAGTAGCTTGACTTAGAGAATTGAAAGGTGCAATTGTTTAAGTGAACCAAATATGTTCTGCTGAACTCTGTGCCTCTCTCCTGGCTTGAGAAAGACAAGGGCCATACGTATTTGAAAGACGCATTTGGCATCATCTGTGTATTTGGGGAAGGAATGGTGACGAGAGGTTGGGGTGGAATTGTGAGAGGCCTAAAATGCCAAAGACATTCCTGAAATTTTTGGCTAACTTGCATAAGAAGCATTGGATCTTCAAAATTTTATGTTAAAACAAAAGCCCACCCGCTTACATTAATGCTTTACTGCAGAACTCACACAGCCTGATGGTGAGGCAGATAAACTTGGGGCCAGACTGCCTAGTTTCAAATTCGGGGTCCATCTTTCACCAGGTATAGAAATTGGAGTTTACTTGACTTCTCTGTGCCTCAGTTTCCTCATTTGTAAAGCAGAAATAATAGTAGTGAGCACCACATTTGGTGATCAGGTAGAGTACTAGGTCTTATGCAGTATGTGCCACAGTTGTCCACATCATTGACTTTTCACAATGAGTAGTAATACAGTAGGAACTAGCAGTATCCCTGTTTTACAGATGTGGACACAGAGGCTCAGAACATTTAAGTAACTTGTCAAAGAACAAAAAGTGAGGAAACAGCAGGATCTAGAAGCAAACTCAGATCTGTTCAACTCCCAGGTTAGGCTTTTACATGTTCTGCTCTACTGACTTATTTATTGATTTTTAAAAATGTTTGTAGTAAAAGTGATTCTTTCTCTTAACTTTTTAGTTTTGGAAGGTTTGTTTCTAGAAATCACTATCCATGGCCCAAGACATCAATGCAGATGGTGGAGGCAAGGGCTGAGGCTGGTTTGTATTCAGTTTACATCCTTTTCCTGAAAAAATCACCACAGATAACAAATAAGCAAGTCTGGGAAATTGTGGAGATCTCTTTTTTGATTTTTTTGATTTTTTTATTTTTAATGTAGCGCATATCATTATGTATTTTTGCTAATCTAGAGTATCTACCCTGTTCATTTGTTGCTTCTCCTCTTTTATCTTCTCAGTCCTTTCCCTTAGTAATTTCTGACAATGCCCCATTGCAGAATACTAGCTATTGTTTTGGATGTTTCATGAAGAATAAAATCTAAACAATTCTTGTTAAAAGGAAAGGCTAACACACACATGCACACATACACACACACATTATATAACACTACATATATATACACATATGTATAAAACACTATGTATATGTATGTATTTGTATATGTGCATATATATACAATAATATAGTATATGTATATGCATATGTGTGTATAATTATGTAATTGGAGAAATCTTATGCTTTAGTCTGAAAGTTGACATGGAGCATGTAGTTTTTTGTATCCATACTCACCAAAAGCTGGTGCCCATTAGAAAGATTTTGCTATTAGATGATATTGAGAGGAAACAGTTAAATTGTTAATTTACACATACATAGATTCCATTTTGGTGCTGATAAAGAAGAATGAGGGCATAAGTTACAACCTTGGTAGACTCATTTGAGCTGATTCAAAGGGGCCCAAGGCTAGAAAGGAGAGCAAAGAGAAAGGGGCAGGAGGTGAAATGAGAACATTTCTGCTTGAGTTCCTCTGGAAGAACTTAATTAGAGTCCTTACTTGGTGTTTGACTCTGTGCTAAGTGCTTTACATTGATTAACATTTCACATGAACCCTTTGAGCTAGGTATTGCCATTATTCCTATTTTCAAGATAAAAATCTGAGGTATGAGAGATGCCATACCTTGCCCACAGCCATGCTGCTCATACTTGAAGAAGCTGAAGCAATCTGATTCCAAGCTCACTTGATTAAGCTCTAAAGCCATCCTGAGGTTGGCACCTCCTAGAACACAGATTCTCTGAAGTACAAATGTACACTTGTTGGAGTCTCAGCCTAATGAGGATTAGGGCTGGACTAAATGTGTGTGTAAGTACTTCAGGAACCACATGGGAGTGTGTGCATTTTGGGGAGCCAGCCATAGCACTAATGTAAGTATAGTGCTGCACCCTGATCCAAACAATAAAGAGAGAGAGAGAAGCAAAGAGGGAGGGAGGGAGGGAGGGAGGGAGGGAGGGAGGGAGGAAGGAAGGAAGGAAGGAAGGAAGGAAGGAAGGAAGGAAGGAAGGAAAGAAGGAAGGAAAGAAGGAAAGAAGGAAGGAAGAAAGGAAGGAAGGAAGGAGAAGCAAGGAAAGGAAGGAGGGAGAGAGGGAGTCAGGCAGGGAGAGAGAGAGGGAAGAGATAAAACACCAGCTTGTGTCAGATGTCACTTGCAGATAAGTTGAGTTTTAAGGACACCTGCAGCTGCAGGTAAAAGAAAACCCAAAGGAGCTCAATAAATAATCCAGAGATAGAGAGACCCTGTATTTAGTTAATTCAAATGCTCAATCCTCAACAGAGACCCAAATTCTTTCCATTTCTCTGCTCTGCCATCTTAAATTATGAACTTTGCCTTTAAATGATGTCCCTCAGTGCAAAGTAGTTTGAGAATTCACATCCAGATGTAAACACATTCAGAGAAAGAAGACCGTCTATTTTGATGTGTTCTTCTTAAGGGTAAGAAAACCTTTCTAGAACCCCCATCAGTTCTTGCTTGTATCAACAAAAACAGATCACAGATCTACTTCTAGACCAGTCTCTGGCAAGGGGAAGGGACCCCCGTTGCATATATTGGCCCTTAGAGATAGATGGGATCCTGGTTAATCATCATGATCCCTCTGCAGCAGTTGATCATAACACATTTGTGCCCATGCCAAAGAGGCCATCTCCGCTAAATATATGAACCCACTGACTGCATTAAACCTGAGAAAAGGGATCTAATGTCCAACTACCCAAGAGCAGAGGTCCCATGAGAAAGGGTGTGTAGTTTAGGAAAGCACAGCTTTGTGTGCTGTTTGTCAGTTTCCCTCAATACCTAGGGAATTGCACATTTATTTGTATATTGGAATTGGAGAGGTATCAATAGAGGCAAAGCCTCTGCCCTAAAGAACTTTAAATTCTAATGGAGGTGGGGAAGCAGAGACAAAAAAAATAGAACAACCTTATAATTTGTAAGGTGGCCAACAGTACTATAAAGATAAAATAAAGGGTGACAAGGAAATAGAATATAACAAGAGATGTACATCCTTCCTTCCAACTGGAAAGATCTCTTCATCTTCCCAGGCTACTTGCCCAGGTAAGTTAACTCCTGTTCTTCTTCCAGGTGTAGGTTTATGCATCAATCCTTCATGGTCTCTGTCTTCTGGAGCTCTCCCTTCTCTTAAATGAATTTCTCCTTCTTATCACCAGAATTGCAATTTCCTAAATGTTCATGTGATTGTTTAGTAGATCTTCTCGAGATCATAAAAACCTTAAGAACCAGGAACTCAGTCTATTTGCTCAAGATTCTGTCTCCAGCAATGAGCTTATTGTTTAGCACATAGTAGGCACCCAAGACATTATTTTTGAGTGACGGAATGAGAAACCAAAAAAAAACTTAATAGTGGCTTTTGGTGGGGCCACAGAAAAGAAACATCTTTCCTTGGGGCCACTGGTTCCTACCTAGTATGACACATTGCATCTCAGGCTGACGCAATTACAGTTTTCCTGCTCTGGACAAGTTCTCCAGATTCACATGCCTTCCCTGCCAATAAAGGATTTTAAAATATGTAAGCTACATATTATTCTTATATCCTGTCCTTCATTGGGTAACAGAAGTGTTTTTCTTTTGTGCAGCTTGTACCCCACTGAGACAGCACAGGAAGCACAAAATTCTATCTTTCCCTGGGGACATGTTTGAAAAATACTCTAGAGAATAGAATTGACAGCCAAGACTTTGTAACACCCTTGACCAAGAAAACTATATCCCACACATGGCTTCTTTGTGTATAGCAAGCCAGCAGAAAATAATATTGTATATGTGGGAAAATGAACATATTGATTGTGTTTGCTGCTCCCAGATACATTTTGTTTCAGGCATAAAAGACAGAAAGGAAGTTATGGTTCACTGAGTGTCTATGTTGTGCTTGACACTTTTAATGAAAATACTAATGATAGAAAATAAGATTGAGTGCTTGCCTGCAAGATCTCATTCAATTTTTATAATGCTTTGAGGTCTATCCTATTATGATTCCCATTTTACAGATGAGAAAACAGAGGCTCAGGGATGGGAAGTCACTTGCCTGTGATCACATGACAGATGAGCAATCAGGATGGGATTTAAGCCAGGTCATACTGTTTCCAAAGGATTTGGTAAATCTCCAAACTTACTGCCTTAGTTTGGGTTCTCCAGGAAACAGACTCAGAAAGAGCTTGAGTGTAGGTAGTTTTTGTGGGGGGTGATCTCAGGAGGCAGGAGTGAAGGAGCTGGGAGAGCAAGGCAAGAAGGTAGGAAACACCAGCATAAGGGTGCTTGCTGTGGTTTCAGGTCTTAACTCTGCAGGATCTCTTAGAGACCAGGGCAGTTACTACCACCAGCGTCAGTCCCTGCCTGGTTGAATGTGCTCGTAAGGGTGTTAATTCTCTTCCACTTTCAGGATGTGTCTGAAGAGGGCTGAGTAGACTCCAGAGAATCTGAAAAAGACTTTGAGTCAAAAAGCAGAAAGAAGCTTAGCAAATGCATGAAATAGGTGCCGTCAGCATGAGTCTCATGAACCGGACTCCACAGCTGCAGCTGAGTGTGTAGGTGGCCTGAGGGATGCGGTGCCGGCCACTGACACCAACAACTCTGTTACACTTATTCTAGCTCAAGTTCTTTTTCCTCCTTCTTCACCATGACCTTGTGAGTTAGGAGATCAGTTTTCAACTTTCTAGCTGGAAAGGTTGAGGCTGTGAATTGTCAATGACTTGCCAGAAGGCACACAGTAAACAGTGCCCTTGGGACCTCTGTTTAGAGGAAGAGCTTCACATTTAGCTTGCTTTCTATTGTGACTCACTCTGTTCAACTAAGTTATGAACAAGCCTCGATGCACAAGGATGAAAGAAATCAGATTTGAGAAAGCCCAGTCTTCACCCATGGACAGCTGAGAAAGGCATGAGACAGGAATATTATAATTCATCTATAAGAAAGTGCTCATCTAAAGAAGAAAATGCTAGCCAGACTTCCTCTGAGACACAGCCAGGTAAGCAGGAAAACGTCATTGTCTTTAGAAACAGAGGAGAGCTTACAGTCTCTTAATATTTTTAATAACCTTTATATTTATACATTTATATATTGTAAACTTATATTTATAAGTTATAAATTAATATTTGTTATGAATTTATATCTATATATTATACATTTATAAATATATATTTTTTGATTTACATTCATTTATATTATCTTCACTACAGTAACTACATTCATTAAATATAAACTTTGACATCCTATCAGCCCTCAGAGGTCTGCTTGGAGTATTGGAGAAGACACTAGGTATTTTGTCTGCTTTTTAATCAGTGAATGGTCTCCAAATTAATATCTATGTATATGTATATATTTATATTAAATAAGAGTCATTTGGGGGATGGGCATCCTATGCATAATATTTGAGGATCTTCATCTCTTTTTCCTTCAAAGAATCTTCAGCAAATGTGCAAAAACAGATTGAGCAACCCATGATCCTGTAGGTTTCCAGTTTTGTCTTCACTCTCTGAACAGGGAAGGAAAAGACTTGAGGCAAGTCTCTAGATTTCAATCATCCAGGAAGCAATTCTGGGTGATAATAAGAGAGACTGGCAAAAAAGGGGGAAAGAGGGGAAATTACTGGCTTGGTCAAAGCTTGCAAAATGGCACCAGTGATTAAAACATCTTATGCTGTCCTCGGGCTGCAGAAGCTATCACTGACAAAAGAGCTCATACACACACACACAAAAGGAAAGAAATTAGCCATTAAGAAATATTTCAGCATAATGCAATTATTACAGCTGTATAATTGAATGGGGAAACCATTGATCTGTAGTAGAAAGGAAATTGCTCTTCTCATTGTGTTCCTATGAATATGTGAACATTAATCTCCATCTATAATCAACGTTCATTTCAAATCTGATTGCATGCTACTAAACACCCGTAGCTATGCTAACATTATGTTAATATGGTTCAACATCATAGCTCCCAGCTTCACAGCACAAATATTTTTCTTTGGCAATCAATAGTAATTTCAGCTGAGTGGATGGAAGTCACGTTTTAATGGTAATCTTTCCTCCAAGCCTCCAAGTGGAAACTCAGTTGGTGTCTTAACATGGCTGCAGCATGTTGCATATAATCAGATAAATTAACCTGAAAAGAAATAGAGAGAGAGGAAGGAAGGGAGGGGACATGGATCAGAAATAAGGAGGAAGCTTAGCAAAACTCTAGCTAATAGATGAAAGTGTACATTAGGTAGAAAAAGAGTGAGGATGAATGGGTAGATGGGACAGAGTGAATGTGTGTCGGAGGGGCATGCAGGAAGGGTTGTTAAGAAATGAGACTGTGTTCCTTCTGGCTATAAGTCAATGGGATGGGATGGAGCAGCCAGGATCCTGGGCAATTTGGATTTTGCCAAAGCAACCAAGATACATGAGGAAGGAATAGGAAACTTAACAAACATGGGTGGATGGCATACCGAGTCATCTCTGCTTGGAAGAGTTCACTCAGATATCTCCTCCTTCTCATATCCACACGTTCATTTACAGCAAACAATAGAAAATATAGAAAATTTTATAGATTTCTATATCTATAAAACATACAGATAATTTTGAAAGTGAAAAAAATTTATAAGGGAGAATCTTTTATTTTTAAGCATGGCTACTGCTGGACACCAAGAATATGAAGATGAACGAATGTCATCTCTGATCACTAAGAGTTGATGACCCAGAGTGGGAGAAGAAAGATAAACAACTCACAGTATCAACCCACATCTCCTGGGATCCTCCTCCTTCCCCTGGCCATAATAATCCTCTCCCTTCATATTTTTTTAAAAGAAGAGAGAGAAGAGGGAGAAGCATTTTGGTTACATTCATTCCTCAAGCACTTTTTTCAGCCCCAGAAACCTAAATGATGGAAATTCTCAGACACAATCATTGGCTCCATTCCCACATCCAAGGACAATGCCCTCCACAACCCCCGTTTTTTTACATACCTTGTCTAAGACTGAAATCAGAGGCTCCTTCTGTGATAAGAATCAAAGTTACAACCTTTATGTATGCAGGTTGTTTATAATAAGGCAAAGGAAAATAAAACCTAAGTATTCTCAGCCTCTTCACCTGCTCTTTCAAAGAAATCTGGAGTTGTCACTTCCCTTCACAGCTCCCCCAGCCCCTGGCGCTCTCCTTCCTGGCTCCTGTTTTGAAGATCAGGGGAAGAGAACATTCTCCTAAGGACAGCAGGGTATCCATTGATATAAGAAGGGAAATCCAGAGGTGAGGGGACAGTGAACCAATGATACAGCACAAGGAGGACCCTGCAGGACAAAAGACCATTAGTATTAAGTGTTTCCTTGTTTGAGGAGTTCAGAAAGAGGAGAAAAATCCTGAAAGAGAAACTGCCAAGGATATAGAAAATACTGAAAATGATGGTTATAGGGAAACAGATTTTTTTGTTTGTTTTTTGACGGAGTCTTGCTGTCGCCCAGGCTGGAGCACAGTGGCAGGATCTCAGCACATGGCAGCCTCCACCTCTCAGGTACAAGCAATTCTCCTGCCTCAGCCTCCTGAATAGCTGGGATTACAGGTGCCTGCCACCATGCCCAGCTAATTCTTTTGTATTGTTGGCCAGGCTGGTCTTGAACTCCTGACTTCAAGTGATCCGCCTGCTTCGGCCTCCCAAAGTGCTGGGATTACTGGCACAAGCCACTGCACCCAGCTAGGTAACAGAATTTTAAAAGCTTTTTCTGTATATTTTGCAGCTTGTCCCACTCTGTCTTTCTCTAAAAAGACCTCAGTAAGAAAATTAATATCCTTTTCCTATTTGTTTTGCTCTTTATAATCCCGAAGTGAATAAAGATTTCCATTGCTTTTCCCTGTTTATTTTTTATAATTTCAAAATGCCTTGTGTAGGATGACAGTGATTATGATTATTATCAAATAGAATTTACGTAACAATATCAGGAACTATTCAGTTTCCTCTCTCAAACCCATCCCTCTCTTTTTATCCCTAAAACTCTTGCCCACCTTTAATCTTCTGAGCTCTCCTTGAATTATTGCACCTGCCTCCTCCTGTCCTCACTAAACTCAGTGTTACTCCCTTCTCATCTGTCACCTGCAAAATAGCCAATAAAGCTAGCACAATTGGGCACAATTTTTAAGGCATTTGAAAATTAAGGATCCAGAGCATGAAAACGGGACTATATTTTTTCAGCCATGTTTAAAGTCATGCAATACTTAATGAAGTACTACTTGATGAAATTTTACTAAACTTATTGTTAAATGTGTAGAAGCTTATTTTGAGTTTTATTGCTTATTAGCAAAGCCAGAAAAGAAAAAAAATCACTGGGGAAATATTCAATCTTCCAACCATGAGAAAAAACAGCTAAAATAAGACACTGAAAACAATATGGTGACAAATAAAAATGCATTCCTTTGTTAGCAGATTCTGTCTGAAGATACAGAGAAAAACCTTGCTGAAGATTTGATGAGTCAACTGCTAAAAGAAATTATTTGGTGTGTGAGGTTTGCTATCCAGTTGGGTGCAAGTATGGATGCTTCTAACATTTCTTTCCTTATGGTATTTGCCACTTGAAATGCAGAATAGTTTTTTATTTTATACTATAGAGTACATGTAATGGGGAAGAAATATTTTAGCAATAAATAACTTCATTATGAAAGCAATATTTTATCAAATAACTGGAAGTGGATCTATCAATACAGTGGCTGACTGACTGGAATTTACTTTTTAAAAATGTCCAAGTCAGATTACAAAGATCGCTTTGGACATAAAATTCAAATTGCATTATCATGTCGATAGACAAAAAAAATTTTCGAAGCTATAAATGCACAAAAATAATTATATGTTGTCATCAACAGGCTTAATTTTATAAGAGAAGATCTTTAAAATGTAAGAGAATATTTACCTTTATAAGGAGGTAGAGCGACATTAAAATTATTTGTTTAATGTAAACAAGAATTTAAAAGAGCTGCCAGATTTGAAGTTATCTATTTTTCTTTTATAAAATGACAAGTATGGCCTGGCGCAGTGGCTCACGCCTGTAATCCCAGCACTTTGGGAGGCTGAGGCGGGCGAATCACGAGGTCAGGAGTTCGAGACCAGCCTGGCCAACATGGTGAAACCCCGTCTCTACTGAAAATACAAAAAATTAGCTGGGCATGGTGGTGGGCACCTGTAATCCCAGCTATTCAGGAGGCTGAGGCAGGAGAATCATTTGAACACGGGAGGCAAAGGTTTCAGTGAGCCAAGATCACTCTACTGCACTCCAGCCTGGGAGACAGTGCAAGACTCTGTCTCAAAAAAAAAATGACAAGTATTCCAAGTTTATTGAAATTACTTTCTGCCATGGGAGTGTCTTTCAGTATAATGTCATCTGGCAGATAATTAAATGGTAATAGTAGCAATGATGCTAATAATAGTAAATAATAATAAATATAATCTCTCACTTCAAGATTAAGGTGACATTTTAAAAATGTGGAACAAATATCTGCTATGTAAATGGAGCAGGCTATGGAGAGTGTTTCAAAATTGGGTATTTAAAAACATTCCTTTGTTATAAGATTTTATTGCCAAAAACAATACAAACGCATTAGTTACAAGAACTTTCATATATACATCCCTTAAAATATATAAACAGCATTGTTTAATCTGCATAAAATTCTCTAAACAAAACATTATCATAGAACTTGAAGTTTCTGCATTAACATATGGGGAAATACTTTCCTATTCTTTATAAAACCACTAATTGGCATTATTGAAGATAGATATTTTCTAGATTGCAATAAAAACTGTTGCACAAGAGATGCATAAAAGGAAATGGAAAAATGATGATGATGAGGTAAGCAGAGCCTGGGTGCCCTTCTTTTGCGTTTTGGTCTGTGTGCCAATTCCACTGATCTATTGCTTTGTAACAAAGCACGCCTGAACTTTATCATTTTCTCACACAGTTACGGTGCTTGGCCTCAACTTAGTAGTTTTTGCTTTGGGTCTCTGGTGCAGTCACAATGAATGGGGCTGGAATTATCTGAAAGGCTTCTTAACTGTCTGATGCCTTGTCTGAGGGGACTGAAGTGACTGAAATGTCTGGGTGCTCGTGGGGCATCTTTCTCTCTCAGCAGCCTTTCCCTGTGGCTAGCTTGGCTCCCCTAAAGCATGGCCAGTCCAGCATAGTCAGACTTCTCCCATGATGGTTGCTTTTCCCTAGAGTGAGAGTTCCAATGGACCCAGATGAGTCTCTGAAGTCTCTCTCTCTCTCTCTTTCTTTCTCTTTCTTTCTTTCCTTCTCTCTCTTTCTTTCTTTCCTTCTCTCTCTCTCTTTCTTTCCTTCTCTCTTTTTCTCTCTTTCTTTCTTTCTTTCCTTCTCTCTCTCTCTTTCTCTCTTTCTTTCTTTTTCTTTCTTTCTTTTTGACAGAGTCTCACTCTGTCCCCAATGGCGTGATCTCGGCTCACTGTAACCTCTGCCTCCTGGGTTCAGGCAATTCTCCCGCCTCAGCCTCTCAGGTAGCTGGAACTAAAGGTGCACACCACCATGCCCAGCTAATTTTTGTATTTTTAGTAGAGACAGGGTTTCACCAATTTGGCCAGGATGGTCTTGATCTCCTGACCTCATGATCCACCCGCTTCGGCCTCCCAAAGTGCTGGGATTATAGCCGTGAGCCACCACGCCTGGCCTGAAGTTTCTTATAACATAGATTTGGGAGCCCCAGAAAGTTAACTTTACCATTCTATTGGTCAAGATCTCTAGGACCAGTCCAGATATAAGAGAAAGGGAATTAAACTCAACTTCTCAATGCAAGGAGCATCAACAGTACACAGAAAGAACTGTACACAGAAGGAACTGAAGACAGTTATCAACTTCTGTATGAATTGGCTAAAATACCATATCTAATAGCACCTGCTACTGTTCTAGCATATAATCAGTGCTTCGATAATGTAAAGAACATGCAGTCAAGTACTCTTTAAAACTCAAGCACAGCTTGTGTGGTTATGATGACTGATTCCTTTTCCTGTTTGCTTTAAGATGCACAGCCTGACAGGATTTTTATTTTCTGTTTGGGGAACAGAATACTAACAGGTCATGTTTATTGAGCATTTCTGACATGCTGAGCTCTTTTCACAAATGATTGAATTTGAACCCCTCCACAAACCTTTCAGGTAGATAATCTGTGTCCTTGAATTCTGCAAATAAGAAGAGTAAGGCTTGGAGAATTTTGTGACTTTTCCTGGATTTCATAGCATATAAGTAGCAAATGAATGAGAATAACCCAATTTAGCTAATATCAGTGACTGAGCTCTAAACTGCTATGTACTAGAAAAAAATCTGCAAATATAAATATATTAAATTATATTTTATTATATATTTTATGAATTATAATTTTTAATTTTTACTAATTTTGTATTATTTTTATCCTAGTTTATTAAAATATTCCACATAATAAATTATGGTATATTCTTTCTATGGAATACACTGTAACTATCACAAAGAATGAGGTAGGTGCCTATTTATATTTTGAAAACAAAGTTACAGATATATAGATACATACACACAGATAAAATACACACACACTAACATATATACAGAGAAAGAGAAAATTTCCACAATAAGATACATCAGAAACTGTTACATGTAGTTAACACTGGAAAATTGGATTTGAATTTTTTGACAGAACTCCATTTTTTTTTTTTACTTTATTATTTAGCGTCATAGCAGATGCTGTCCCCTCCCTGCCCATATTCCCTCAGCCCACCCCTAAGGTTCTCTACAGCCTTGTCTACATTTCCTATATACAATATAGGACTTTATATACATGAATGTGGCTTCTGCCCTCAAGCCCTGCATAACTTTAGTCTCTTTCTCTCTCTCTCTCTCCCTCGCTCGCTTGATCTCTGTGTCTCCCTACCCCCTATTATCTCTAGATAGATAGATAGATAGATAGATAGATAGATAGATAGATAGATATAGAGATAGATGATAGATAGATAGATAGATAGATAGATAGATAGATAGATAGATAGATAGATTTATCTTGCTGTGCAGGCTTGGGGCAGATCAGCAGTGCTTGGAAACAAACCTTAACCAATGAGGGACAGCCGTTATGGATACATTCTCTGACCTCTCAGTGTGTCCTCTTCCCAGCGTGTCCTCTTCACAGTCTCTCAGGGGCCCCAGTGGGATACAGCACCGGTTGCCCCCAGAAGTGTCCCTCTCCTTGTGCACCGGTTGCTATTTATGCTATTTATGTTCCCTGCCTCACTTCCCATTCCCTCACCAAGTGCCCTGGGATTACCTCCCAGATAAATTGTTACATCAGGTCCCTTATCCCAGTATCTGCTTTTGGGAGAACCCAAAACTAAGACAAACACTATTTGAATTTTTGCAATATGCTCACATAATTTTCACACAAATAGGCAAGCAACATCAACTCCAGTTTAAATGAATAGGATCATTGAAAAGTACAGTATTTAATGCAGCGTGGATTGCCCTTTCCCTGATGCACATTCTGGGTCTGTTGCCGTGGCTCTGAGTAGCCTTTCAGCTCCTACCAATAGAGAAGAAGAGATTTTGAGGGCCACAACTGACGTAGAGGAAAAGTGGTCTCTGGGCAGGGGGGTCTTTCCAATAAGGCTTGGAAAACAGGGTTTCACCCACACACACCATGTTGTAAAAAGGTGCCATGTTTTGCTTCTCTGTTTCCCAACCCTACCCCATCCCCAGCCATCTTTCGTTGAACACTGCTTCATGCTCATCACTATGCCGTTACCAAGGCTTGCTGAGCTCCACACAGGCTCACAGGCTGGGCCAAGAGACTCCGGGGATTCATTGTCTGGGTCTAACACAGTGCTCTGGGCCCTGGCCCAGGGGAGCTGAACAAAGTCGTCTCAAGATTACAAGCCATTTCAGCCCTATCAGGGGTTATGGCCCCTACTTTTTAACATCCTGCTTTTATTTGCAGGCTATGAAGTGTAATAGTTCACCATTTTGGTTTAAGTATCACCATAAAAGTCAGTGAGATGGAACAGGCAATAAGTAGTTCTTTTACATAGTGTGGCTGAGGCTGGGAGCTTACATCTTCATTAACCCACAGAAACGGCTCTGGAATAAAATGCTGGGGTGGGCGCTCCTTAACGTCAACATCTGTGAGGACGAGGCCCCCTCCTTCTAACTCCGTGTGCCACACTTTGCCCCTTGCTGGCTCTGGTGCTGAGGAAGTTGGAAAAACAGGAAGGAAAAGAGCAGATCAATTTCATAAGAGCGATTCTGAGTGTGTGGATGAAACACCAAGCTTTGCAATGGAAAGTGAAAAACTCTTCTCAACACAGATGTGTTTGATTAGTAAGACACCCCCAGCACCATCCTCCAGGCACCAAGTACTCTGATTAGCTGAAGTTCCTTATCTCACAAAATAAGCATTTCCACTAAAATTAGATTAACAAATAATACAAATAATTGTAGGCTTTTGCTGATGGAAAATATAAGTGCTCATGTCTTCCATCCAGAATCTGTCCCAGAGAGATAGAGTTGGTAGGCATAGTACATACAATAAGACAACTTTATTTTACTTAGCAGGGTGGCATGATATTTGCCTATATCAGAGTTTCTGGTAAGATTTCCTGCATAACACCCATTCTATGGTTTTATGTGAAAGAAAAAAAGTTTCTCAGTGAAACAATTTGAGTGGAAATGTTAACTAAGGACATTTCACTATACAGAACTTAAGATTCAAACAGCTAAATCTGTTTGGTATGTATATGTTGGTATATATAAAAAATTCCTAGGATTCTCACTGAACATTTTCTCAAAGAATATTTCTTGGGGTTCAGATTTCATGCCTCACTGACATAAAGGAACTGCCCGCCTCCCACATCATGCATGCGCAGAAGATTCAGAACTTTACCCCATCCACAATAACCTAACATTTGAGCACACCAGAATCAAGAACAAAACTGCACTAAAACACACCACTTAGGTTCCCATCCTAAGGGAACCTTAGGGCTGCTCTCTGGTCCCATCCTTCTTGCCCAATTCTCAGCTCCCTACCCCTAAAGTGATAGGATAAGGTTTCATAGCCAAGAGATATATTTTATCTCATTTTCTTTATAGCCGAGCCATTATTTCCTACAGAATTATTAGTCTACCTCCTTTATCACTCTCAGCCCCCAATTCCCTATTTCCAATTTTACCCAACAGATTTTTTTCTAAAAATGAATAGATCTATCCTTGTCCTACAAAAGAGATCATTGAACATACCTTCTTCCATAACCAGTACTTAGTATGTCCTTAGGATGCATTCAGGACTTTTCTTTCTTTTATATAAATTTTCTTAAGGATTAAAACTCTTCAGAGTGGTTATCAGATTTAATGGGACCTAAGGACCACATGACCAGAGGACACCCATGTCATGTAGAAGAGATATATGCAACTCCTTATTTATATATTCATACCAGACAACACTAATGAATCATAGAATAATCTCCTTCCCTTCATTCCTCCACCTCCATATGAATCCAAATGTTTTTCTATGGGAGATAAAACTTATTTTCCCTCTCTATCTTAGCTCTTGCTTTCTGAAAAAAACCAGTAATCTTGAAAAGTGTTTCCAGTCTTTCTCTTTCTCACATAGATGAAGTGATAGCTATGTGGTTATCTCTCACAAAACATGCATCATTGCGGCCAGAGAAACCAATTCCCTATGTCTTGTAAGCTCTTTACAGACATGCCCATGTTGAACAGTGTCTTTCAAGTTGTCAAACATCTCCCTTTTTGGTCCATAGTTACCCTTCACCTGTATCATGTGTACATCATGAGGTAATGAAGGAAAAAAGAACATTATTCTCCAGTTCCAGGGGCTTGAGTCAAGTGACACTGGAGAAGTTTCTGCTCTACTAAGTCCATGGCTATGAAAAGACTATTCCTTAATAGTGCTAAATTGCAACAGGACAGTGCAGAAAACCTTGTCTTTGGACACCTAAGAGATAATGCATGTTGTCTCACCAGTAAGTAAATTCATGCCAAACAGAAAGGGGCAAGTCCATTCTTTCATAGCATTAATTGCAAAACCAATCTTAGTTTATCATACAGGCAGCTGCTTCTGTATCAGCCCAGAGTCTATTCTCAGCAATGGGATAACTTGAAGTCACTCTTGGGCCTCATTGACCTCTTGGAGGTAAAGAAGAGAGCTAAGATGGTAGCCTCTGTCATCCACACACAGAAAAGTCAAACCCTCAACCCAGCCATGATAACTGAACCCTTGAACACACCAGAACCAAGCACTCCACGACTTGAACATACACTCATCTTCCCACCTGGTTGCAGCTGTTGCTCACATACTGACTCCTATCTTCTATACCTCCTACTTGGCTCCTTAGCTCTAAATGATAGGATGAGAGATGCAACCAAGCCCCCAAAACTAAGCTCCCATAAAAGCAGACCTTTATCACATTTGCTCTACATGGCTATATTTCTGATTCACTCTCCTCCACCAATTCATCGCCCTAAATTCCACTTTCCCTCAAATGTCCCAACAATTTTTCATTTTCTCACATTTTTCGCTTTTACTTTGTTTTCAAATTTTACATTTCTATACACTTGACTCACTCTCCAGAACTATTCTGATTATTCCATTCAGCTGCGGTGCTTTCATCAGACTTGTGTTGATGCTCCCCTGGGCATTCTCTGGCCTGTACTTGGGGACCAGGAAGTTGTTTCTTTACCAACCATTTATACAATTTCCAGGGATGTTGCTGCAGCCCTATTCTTACTGCCACCTTTTTTGTCAAGAATAACATTTCTAATAAATGAATAGCAGCAGATCCTCTCCAGAAAAATATACGGGGCTCTCATCAGAGTACCATCTTATTATCCCTTTTCCCAAAGGGATCCCTTTGTGGGCATCTGTATCACTTACTATTTTTCTTTGCACTTAAGGAAGCTTGGCTTTCGCATCTTTGAATTATTCCTCTGGCACCTTTAGATATGCACCAGGCCTCAAATGTGCAGTTAGAATAGTAAATTTTCCCACTAGATAAAGGATTAAATTTGCCACGACACATCCCAGATTACCCATATGGGCTGGCTTGTCTCCCTCAGTGTAAGACACTCTGAAACACATTGAAGTCCCCAAGATATGAGTGTCTAAATCTTTTTGTGCTGCTATAACAAAATGCTTGAGACTTGGTAGTTTATCAACAACATAAACTTACTTCTCACAGTTCTGGAGTCTGGGAAGTCCACAACCAAATTACCCAGAGGTTCAGTGTCTGGTGAGGGCTGTTCTCTGCTTCCAAGATGGACACTTGTTTCTGCATCCTCTGGAGCGGATGAATTCTATCTCCTAAAAAGGGACAAAATGAGCAGACTTGACTTCCCAAGCCCTTTACGATGCACTAATTAATTCAAGAGCACAGAGGCCTTGTGGCCTAATCACTTCCTATAGATCCCACCTTTTAAAATTGTTGCATTGGGGATTAAGTTTTAACATGAGTTTTGAAGGAACATAAATATTCCAGCCATAGCATATGAGTAAGACTTAGCCTGTTCCCAATCCTTCTGTGTCACAGCACAACAGATACCCCCTTGAACTTGTGACTATAACTGTGATCCATTGCCTTGGGCCTCAGACAACAGAACAGAAAACTATCAAGACCATGAAGGTGGGGCAAAGAGCGGTGGGTGTCCAGAACTTCAAGCACGCAACATAGTCTTTCTTAGATTAACCTCTTGAGACCTCCCTAGAGAGATTACTTTTGTTCCTAGGACACAGTTATCTTAACAGCATTCTCATAACTGGATTTCCCATCTACATTTCATTTCTTCATTCTGTATGGATATGCCACCCCACCAGAGGTAAATGTCCTACTGCTGATTTGTGGATACTTTATCACTTGATGTGCTTCTATCTGTATCCATCTATTTGTCTGTCTCTCTATTTACTAAATGATTTACCTGTGCAGTATTCCAGATGTTTGGAAATGCTGGAAGTCTGAACTCTGATTTACAGAGGAGATGTTATGTAATTCAACATGATTTAAAGTGTCACACAATCTGTCTATATTTGGAAATATCTACTCTCCTGGCATCATGCAGAACCAGACACAGCCCAAGGCCTTATGTTTCCTATTTAACTTAACAACCTGCATAAATGTCTCTTTTACATATTATCAATGTGTCTTTAATAGTCTTGCAATTCTTGAAGCAATCCCAATCTGAATAAGCAAAATTTTTGCAGGCTGTGGTATGTAAGGATCCAACTGGCTCACACAACCAAGTAGAATTTCAAAATACACATACTAGCCCAGAACAGTGTCTTTCATGCCTTTTGAAGAACACTCATTTTTAATTGTTGTATTTGACATGTGTTCAAGAAGAATGGTCTGGTAAGCGATCTTTTTACTTTGTTTTTGTGTTCGTTTGACATGGGATGGGGTGTGGGGTGTGATTTACTAAGACAACTCAGTAAAATCCTATAACAATAATGCGCTTTCTTTTTTGTGCGATGACATATTGTTCTCCACTCTCTCTCAGTAACATATCTGCTACAAATAGTTTCTACAACCCTCCTTGAAGGCTTCCAACAACCACACAGATGTCTCTATGCACAGCATTAGCTGTGGAAAGAAAAACTGTGTTAAAGAAGACATTTTCCAGTTACAGGGAAAGACAGAACCACTATCTTAGAGTGAAAGTAATACACGGTGAGTCCCATTGGGATAGCCTTGGTGACCCCTCAAGGCAAGGGATTCAGACCTACTGGTATCATGTCATGTCTGCCAAAGGGATGGCTACCAGTGAGCTGTAATATGAATGGAACTAGAAGAAAATGGAACAAAGAAACAAGATGGTCGGAATTATTCCCCAGAATGAATAAAAGTACCCCTCAAGATCGCCTATCCCTACATTCATTGAACAGCTTTTTAATACCTGATTCAGTCTTTCCTGCATGTTAACACCATGAAAGAAGTGGAGAAGATACTTGATAAAAAGCAGAAGTAACTTTTACACCCTAAAGGTAGAGGCAACTCTGAAAATTGATTCAATGTTCTCTGGTTTATACATCTATTGTTTATGAGTTTAATTACTATGAATTGGTTCCATGAGTTTGATCATCAGAACAAGAACCAATCAAGTCAATTTCAGGACATGCAAAGTTGACAGAGCTGTCAATCAAGGGCTCTTTTCTTTACTCTGACCAATTGGACTCCCTCTTTGGGGGAATGTGAATCTTGAGCAAAGTATAAAAATTTATAAATCATTGGAACAAAGTATTTCTGGAGGAAATCTTTGAGACTTTCCATGAGTACCTGCCACTGACATCCCTGAAGATGTCCTGGTTTCTGTCTTTCTCAAAGCCTGGCAGTTCAGCTTTTTTTTTCTTTCCACTCCTGTGAGATATCTACTATATACTTCATAAACTACATCTTTCTATTTGCTTCCATCAGCCTGATGTGGATTCTATTTCTTGCAACGCGGAGACCATAAGTCATTCAGGACCTGTAAGGCCTTTTCTATTCAAGTAAAAATCGAGGTTCAAGGAAGCCACAATTTATTTAACTAGATTTCAGATGCAGGACAGGATAATTAACCTTTTATTAGGGAAGGTATGAGCCCTGCCTCCTCTTCCCCCGGCAGAGACAAACAATTCTCCTCCCAGGCCTGACTGAGCAATATGATTATTTGAGCCCACATGCATTTGCACAGGAAGGAGCTGCTGGAGCTTGCCCAGGTGGCCAGGCCAGCACTGAGTGCTGGAGGGCCCAGGAGGAGGGCTCCTGCCTCACCCTGGGCGGTCGGGTGGAAATAAACTGTGTCTACCGCCTGGTTCTGGCAGCAAAAGCAGCACCAGCACCAGAGGAGGTTCGGACTCCAGACCCCCCGAAACCAGGAAATTCCAAGCTGGAGCTAAAATTGTAGCTGGCCCTCCCAGTCTTGCTCCCAGCTCAATGCTCTGCAAGCCTCAGCACAGCATGTATCCACACACAAAGTTACCCACACGGGTTGAATTATGGAGGCACAGAACTGTTGAGGCCAAGGCCCTCTGTAACGCTCTCACTCTCTGAACCCTGGGGCAAGAAGGATCCTTCACCCACTGTTTACTTTAATACTTGGACTGAGCTGGCTGTTAATTTTAACCGTGGCATCAGAAACAGAAAACTAGCATTTATTATTGTCGGCCAGACACTGAACTAGCGATTTAATGAAATTATCTATTCACTCTTTCCAGCAATGCTTCTGTCAAAGTAATATTATCCCCATTTTACAGAGGTTGCCCAGGGTTGGTTGATGTATGTGTGCCAGGTTTGTTGGAATTTGAGCTCATATCTTTTGTCTCTAAAAGCCTAGTTAACTATTTGATATTTTCTTTTTTTTTTTTTTTTTTTTTTTTGAGACGGAGTCTTGCTGTCGCCCAGGCTGGAGTGCAGTGGCGCAATCTCGGCTCACTGCAGGCTCCGCCCCCTGGGGTTCACGCCATTCTCCTGCCTCAGCCTCCCGAGTAGCTGGGACTACAGGCGCCCGCCACCTCGCCCGGCTAATTTTTTTGTATTTTTAGTAGAGACGGGGTTTCACCGTGTTAGCCAGGATGGTCTCGATCTCCTGACCTCGTGATCCGCCCGCCTCGGCCTCCCAAAGTGCTGGGATTACAGGCGTGAGCCACCGCGCCCGGCCTATTTGATATTTTCTAACTGATGGAACACAGAGACTTTGCACTAAGATTATTCTCAAGTGGCCTTTAGAAATCATAAAACTGGACTGTACCACTAGACTTTTCTATTGATAGAGCCAGGAAATGCTGTTTTCTAGGCCAGGAGATTTTCCTGTCTGTCCTGGCAAAGTCCATTGTCATTAGTAGGATTGATCAGCTCACAAAGGATATTACTTGAAGGAGAGACTCCTGGACTGAGAAATAGGAATTTAAACCCAACCCTCAGCTATGTCTGGACAACATGGCTTCTAACACTTACCTCCTTTGTATCCTCAACCCTTTTGTTTATAAGATGGCATAGCAATGTCTACTGTAACAGCAGTGTGCAGTTGTGAATAAGGCAATGACCTACCAAAATCAGGGAGGGAGGCTATCTGCCCTAATGGAGATAAGTTTTTATTTCTTACATTGTCAAGACTCTGAAAAAAGGGAGGGATTTCAGTTAGTTTTATTATTGTTTTCAAATCCTCTATGGACAGTGCAACCCTTGTAATCTGCAAGCGTGAGATCCTCCCAATTTTTCTACTTCTGCATGCCCCTAGATCAAGAAATTTACCAGAAAAATGCAAGGCTGCTACTAGAAAGGGACTTATAGACCATGAACATCAAATTGATCACTTACAAATCCAGAAATTGATACCCTTAAAAGAGAAGTAACTTATCTAAGATCACAAAGTAAATTAGTGGCAGAGTCAAGGCTAAAGCCAATCTTTCTCACAGGAATTACAGCACAAATGTAAGGTGGTATTATACTAATATTGATGGCCGTAAAAAGATCCCAAATATTTTCAAGAAACCCAAGCACTAAACTCTGGCCCTTGGATGGCATTTACTCTGATGGACGGGACGTTGGATTTAAATTCCAAAGACTTGTGCTCAAGTCTTTGGGTACTGATAACCTCCTGGGGAAGGAAGACAAGATAGGAATAGTTAATTAATACTGCAAGGTAGAAATGACTGCCCAAGATACCAACGCAAGACATTTCAGAAAGCAGCACATGATGAGTTGTCAAATTAGTGGAGCCAGGAGCTAATGCTCTGAGAAGGCAAAGGAGAACCACCACCTTGCCTCCTCCATGAACTCCCCAGCTCTCCCTGCATTCCTGTGGCTTCTTAAGCCTTTAATCAGTAACCTGAACAAGTGATTTGCTTGATAATTATATGTTTATGAAACATGATATTTGGGGGAAAGAAAAAGTGATTTGGAGTCAATATACATGTCTTTACAGCTCATCTTTGCCATCTGCTAGTTGAATGACCATGGGCAAGTTCCTTTGCCTTTGAGACTACACCTTCTTTTCTGCAAAGAGAAAACAATAATCCACACTTCTCATGACTGAAAGTTAAATGAAAAACTAGATAGAAAGCATCAACCATCGTGTTTGCCTCTTGTTGAATGTACTTCTTTGTCTTCGGTTAGACTGCAAACTCCTTGAGGGTACGTTCAGGCTTTGTATGACTCAGCATCTTTCATGGCTCCATCACAATTATATAAAAAAAACCTTAAAGAATATAATTGGATTGTTTGTAACTCAAAGGATAAATGCTTGAGAAGATGGATACCCTATTCTCCATGATGTGCTTATTTCACATTGCATGCCTGTACAAAACATCTCATGTATCCCATACATATATATACCTACCATGTACCCACAAAATTTTTTTATAATTAAAAAAATTAAAGACATTATTGATTTGAACTAACTCAAACATAGTCAGGAGAGAGGAGGAGAACCTATCTTGATTTTTTAAAAAAGAAGAAGGTTGGATTTATACTACCTTTCACTGAGTATCAGCCAGAGTGTGAGCTGAGTTTTCTTAACAATTGATCATAACTTGAGTCCATTGTGGGGCATCATCAGTTCAATGCATGGTGGTGCCAATAACCTAAGAAAAAATACTTCCCTAAATATCTTGAAACCCACATGATTTTACTGGTGACCGCTTTAAGGCTTCCATATGATAAGCTCCACAACATATTCACTTTCAAGGGGCATGTAAACTGATAGAAAACCACACAAAAATTCAGTAAAATCCTCATGGCAAAACCTGAGTCACCCAAAAGAAAACTAACATTTATCATTACAGACATAAGTATGCTATAGCAAGATTAGGTACAAGTACTGAATAGCTTATGAAAATAATTATATTTATTATCATAAAAAGAATGCTTTATCATATGCAACAAAGAGTTCTATATTGGAAGAAACACACATTCACAGATCTCTGTATACAGATATGTGGATAATATTTTCCACGTACACACATGTCCCAATATATTTTCCACATTTTCTACAATTCCCATCATAACCAGAAAATAAATTCATGCTTATTTTCCCTTTACCAAATCAATCTAGCTAGATAGCTGGCTAGCTACCGCTATCTATCTATTAACTATGGATCATCTTAATAAAGAGAAATAAACTTGAGTTTGCTTTCTGATTATGATGGGAATTGTGGAAAATGTGGGGGAAAAAAATGAAATTTTTAAGTTAGGGTCCAAACAGGAGACAAAAACCACACAGCAATTTGAACAGGAAATGTTGAATACAAAGAATTATTAACTATAACATGGAATTACCTACAAAAAGCGAAGAGAATTCCAAACAACAAATGAATGGAAGAAAAGAAAGCAGCCACCAGCTCTAGGACTAAGGCAGAGAACCCAAGGAAGGAACAAATATGGAAGACACTCCCTTTCCAGAGTTGACATCCACATCTGGATGGTGGCTGTGCTGCTTTGGCCCACTGGATGAGGGAAGAGTTCCCTGAGGTGTGCACCTCTGGGGTGCTGGAGGAAGCCGCGTAGGAAAACGTCATGCCCCGGGTGGTAGTGTGGCTGAAACTCCCTGGAGGTGTGTGCCACTGGGTGTCCTGCTGCCCGCCTCCCTCCAGCTGCCTCCAGCCAGGGGAGCAAGACAGAATACCGGAACCAGGATGAATCCCTCGTCCCAGTCCAGTGTCTCTCCTGCGCCCTCTACTGACAAAGTGTATCCCTGTGTCCACAAGCAAAGGAAAAGTACTCTTGTCCCAAGCAGGGCAATGAAGGGTGAACGTGAAGCTAAGAGGCAAAAGTTGATAACAGCACATACAAAAAAATATAAAAACAAATAAATAAAGATCACCAACAATCCCAACAACCAAAAATAAAATCTTCTACTGATATTTCAAAAAATCTTCTATAACCTGTATTTACTTGGGAGGGGTAATGTCTTTACATATTTTTTAAACAACTAAGAACATGTGTTAAGTCAATTTAACTAAGTTTCTTTTCAATTTATCATAAGATATGTTTTATAACTAAAAATTATCTTTCACATGATTTTTATTGGGTGCATAATATTCCACAAGGGAATACTTATTTAAGTATTGTTCTATTTTTAAGTATTTACATTTTTATTTTTTTCTTTATTACAGATAATGTATATCTTGAATAAATTCTTTAAAATAAAGACCCACAGTAGATTTTCTGGTTTCAAGTTTCAACCATATTTAAGAATCCTACTATATATTTTTAAATTGCTCTTCATAATTATAAAGCCAACTTATATTTCCACAGAAGCATACGTGAATGTCCATCTCATCACATTCTCATCAGCAAGGAGTAGTACCACATTTAAATATGTATTGTTAGATTTTTAAAAATATACAAGTTAATTCTTACATTTTTGATCACTAGTAAAGTTGGCAATTTTTTACATCTTTAAGTTCCACTTCTGAATATTTGTTTTAGCCATCTTCTTGAATTTTTGGTGTTTTTATTTTTAATATGTAAAAAGTAAAAAGCTATTTGTTAAAACACCAAGACAATTAATCAAAATATTACAGTATAGAAGTGGAATGATACTTTTAACTATGATAAAGGGTGATTTTATCACACACAACAAATTGGGTAGTTGTGACAATGATACAAATAAAGAGTTTATTTTACATTTTTAAATTTTGTTATATTTTTCGTATAAATATATATTCTTTCTTATAACCAGGAAAGCTATATCTTCAAAATACAAGGATTTATTTTTTCCAAGTTATATCCATGACCATATTTAATGGATAACACCAGAGGTATACCTGCTAAAAATCAGCAAAAAAGAACAATGTCCACTATTATTACTAACATTGTTGTGGAAATTGTGGTCAAGGGAGAAATACATAAAAAAGACAGAAAAGGTGTACATAAAGGTAAGGAAGGACGAAATCATTATTCATTCACTATATAATTCCAAATATAACACAGAAGCATTTTTGTCTTAAGAAATATTCTAAGGTCTGTATGTAAGGATGAATAAGTCACAGTCCGATATGGTTTGGCTCTGTGTTTCCACCCAAAATCTCATCTTGAATTGTAATAATCCCCACGTGTCAAGGATGGGACAAGGTGGAGATAATTGAATTATGGGGGTGGTTTCCCCCATACTGTTCTTGTGATAGTGAGTGAGTTCTCATGAGACCTCATGGTTTTATAAGGGGCTTCCCCCTGCCCCTTTGCTCTGCACTTCTCCTTGCTGCCGCCATGTGAAGAAGGATGTGTTTGCTTCCCCTTCTGCCTTGATTGTAAGTTTCCTGAGGCCTCTCCAGCCCTGCAGAACTGTGAATCATTTAAATCTCTTTCCTTTATAAATTACCCAGTCTCTGGTATTTCTTCATAGCAGAGTAAGAATGGATTAATACACCATAAAAAAGAATATTTGAAAAGAATAATTGATAAGGAGGTGGACTAGGTGGTAAACCAAAGAAAATTCCTCCCTGTATGTACTAAGGCTTAATATCAAACAAAGCACTGCAGATCATTGGGAAGTGAAGAATTATGCCATAAATATTACTAAGATGAATTAACAGTTAAAATAAACAATTTCTGTCCTCTCATACCATATACCAAAATACATTTTACATGGATTAAAATGTCAATGTGAAAAGCAAAACTGAACAGTTGTATAGCATAGATTTACTAATTTGTTAAAACCTTGAGGTAAGTGACAAGAAATTGGAAAGCTATAAAAGTAATTGAACAGATTAAATATTTCTATGTATCCTAAATATGTAAACTTTTAAATGTAGAATGTTATGTATCATGAAAGTATTCATGAAGTAATATTGCAGATGGAATAGTTTTACATTTGTTTGGTTAATAACATAGATAAATCAATAAGAAAAACATAACACCGTTATAGATAAAAGGGCAAAGAACATGAATGGAGGACTATTCACTAAATATGAACTAGAACCATTAAGTAAAGGTGAGAAAATAAGCTAAACCTCATTAATAATCCAAGAAAACTCTCCCTGTGGTGAAAGCCAAAACTGAGCATCTGCTTGTCAACAAGCTAGATTTTGTTAGAACCATCTGAGTTACTACTCAAATAACTTTCAGACAATGGCAAATTCCTCAACTCCAAATCCTGTTTTTCTTCTAATAAGAATAGTTGTAAGTCATAACTCCTCAAGTGTGTGTGTGTGTGTGTGTGTGTGTGTGTGTGTGTGTGTGTGTGTGACGAGGCGAGGCCCTAAATAGGCACCCAGACACATGGGAACCTTTATTTCTTGACCTTTGTCTCTCCCAGGGT